>NC_000003.12:170675270-170826786 GCF_000001405.40 Homo sapiens
TATTGAGCGGGGTAAGGGTGATTAGGTTTTAATGAGACGGTAAGGGGTGGATGATCGGTTGCCAAGGAGGGAGTAGAGGTATCTTATACTTGTGGGTTAAGTTGGGGGGATACAAGAGGAGGACACAAATGTGGCTTTGGATTGGGAAGAAGGGCGGCAATGAGATGTAGCTGTAGTCCAGGAATAGTCAGGGAAGCAGATAATTTAGTTAAAGTGTCTCGGCCTAATAACGGAACTGGGCAGGTGGGGATAACTTAAAAGGAGTGCTTAAAAGAGTGTTGTCTAAGTTGGCACCAGAGTTGGGGAGTTTTAAGAGGTTTAGAAGCCTGGCCATCAATACCTACAGCAGTTATGGAGGCAAGGGAAACAGGCCCTTGAAAAGAAGGTAATGTGGAGTGGGTAGCCTCCATATTGATTGAGAAGGGGACGGACTTACCTTCCACTGTGAGAGTTACCTAGATTGTCCGTGATGGTTCTGTAGGCTTCTGAGGCGATCGGGCACTGTCAGTCTTCAGCTGCTAAGCCAAGAAGATCTGGGAAGGAGTCAGTCAGAGAGCCTTGGGCCAGAGTTCCAGGGGCTCTGGGAGTGGCTGCCATGTGAGTTGAACAGTCTGATTTCCAGTGGGGTCCCGCACAGATGGGACATGGCTTAGGAGGAATCCTGGGCTGTGGGCATTCCTTGGCCTGGTGTCCAGATTTCTGGCACTTATAGCAAGCTCCTGGGGAAGGTGGTTCTGGAGGAACACCTGGCCACTGTGGTTTAGGCGTTTGGAAGTTCTTGTGTGCTGGAGATGTGGCTGGGGTTTGTCTCACAGTGGAGGCAAGGAATTGCAACTCAGAAATATGTTGCTACTTGGCTGCCTCTATTATTGTACACCTTGAAGGTGAGGTTAATTAAATCCTGTTGTGGGGTTTCAGGGCTGGAATTTAATTTTTGGAGTTTTATTTAATGTCAGGAGCAGATTGGGTAATAAAATGTATATTGAGAATAAGACAGCCTTTTGACTTTTTAGGGTCTAGGGCTGTAAAGCGTTTCAGGGTGGCTGCCAAATGAGCCATGAACTGGGCTGGATTTTTATATTTGATGAAAAAGAGCCTAAATCTAACTAATTTGGGATAAAGAAAAAGGAGCATTAACCTTGACTATGCCTTTAGCTCCAGCCACCTTTTTAAGAGTAAATTGCTGGGCAGGTGGGGGAGGGCTAGTCATGGAATGAAACTGTAAGCCAGACCAGGTGTGAGGAGGGGAGGTGATAAAAAGATTATAGGGTGGAGGAGCAGAGGCTGAGGAAGAATTGGGACCTAGCTTGGCCTGGGGAGGAGGGGAGAGGTCAGATGGGTCTGTAGAAAAGGAAGATTACAAAGACTCAGCGACACTTGGGGTTTGGACTGAGGGGACAGGAGGGAGGGAAAGAAGGAAGATTTGGGACTAGTTGCATTGGGAACAGAGACTAGAGAGGGACTATGTGTAAAAGAGTTCCTGGGCATCAGGCACCTCAGACCATTTGCCTATTTTTTGACAAAAATTATTTAGATCTTGTAGGATGGAGAAATCGAAAGTGCCATTTTCTGGCCATTTAGAACCACTGTTGAGTTTGTATTGGGGTCATGTGGCATTGTAGAAGAAAATAAGGCATTTAGGTTTTAGGTCCGGTGAGAGTTGAAGAGGTTTTATGTTCTTAAGAACACAGGCTAAGGGAGAAGAAGGAGGAATGGAGGATGGAAGGTTGCCTATAGTGAAGGAGGCAAGTTTAAAGAAAAGTAAGAGTAGAGACACGGAGGGAAGGGGTTCGGGGGTTCTTACCCTCCAGAAAAGCGGGAAAGGGGTTGGGGCACAGAGATATGAGGTCGGGGCATGGAAATAAGGGATCAGGGCACAGAGATATAAGAGGTTGGGGCATGGAAATAAGGGATCAGGGTGCAGACATATAAGAGGTCAGGGCATGGAAATAAGGGATGGGGTGCAGAGATACGAGGTTGGGGTACTTGCCCCTCCCCCAGAAAAGCAGGACTTGCCACTAAGGGTGAAGGAGAAGGGGTTGGGGGTTTCTTGCCCCCCAGAAAGGTGGAGAAGGGGTAGAGACATGGAGAGAAGGGGTTGGGGTACTTGCCTCTCCCCCCAAAAAATGGGACTTGCCGCTAAGGGTGAAGGACCAAGGCAGGCATCCCTGCATGGTCTGACACCTCTGAAACATGGGTGAATAATCAGAGAGGCATCCCTGCAATGATTAAACACCAAGGGAAGGCTGCCTTCCCAGCCCATGACCGGCGCCGGAGTTTTGGGTTCGCAGATAAAATGTGTCTCCTTTGTCTCTACCAGAAAATGAAAGGAATTGAAATTAAGAGAAGGGAGAGACAGAAGAGTGGAAAGGAGAAAGTGGCTGACGGTTAGTGAGAGAGGTTGGAGAAGAGAGTAAGAAGAGGCCGCTTACCCGATTTAAAATTGGTGAGATGTTCCTTGGGCTGGTGGGTCTGAGGACCTGAGGTCGTAGGTGGATCTTTTACACAGAGCAAAGAGCAAGAGGACAGAGGATTGATCTCCCAAAGGAGGTCCCCTGATCTGAGTCACAGCACCAAATTTCATGCGTGTCCGTGTGAAGAGACCACCAAACAGGCTTTGTGTGAGCAACATGGCTGTTTATTTCACCTGGGTGCAGGCGGGCTGAGTCCAAAAAGAGAGTCAGTGAAAGGAGACAGGGGTGGGGCCGTTTTATAAGATTTGGGTAGGTAAAGGAAAATTACAGTCAAAGGGAGTTGTTCTCTGGTGGGCAGGAGTGGGGGGTCACAAGGTGTTCAGTAGGGGAGCTTTTGAGCCAGGATGAGCCAGGAGAAGGAATTTCACAAGACAATGTCATCAGTTAACGCAGGAACAGGCCATTTTCACTTCTTTTGTGGTGGAATGTCATCAGTTAAGGCAGGAACCGGCCATCTGGATGTATACGTGCAGGTCACAGAGGATATGATGGCTTAGCTTGGGCTCAGAGCCCTGACAGTTATTATTTAAATCAGCCATGTGTCAATCCACCAAGTTCTTACTGAGAGTAGCTTTCTCTATGTCCACTAAGTCCACTCAGATCAGGATCAGGGAAACTCGACAACAAGGGCCAGAAGGGACATTAGGGATATTCTCATCAGAGTCTGCATTGTATCGAGGAGCAAATGGATATTTAACTGGCAACAATGACTTGCCCAGGGTCACACAGCAGCAGAACAAGGGCTGAAACCCAAGTTTCTTGGCTAGAAGACTAGTCTGCCCCCATATTCAAGTTCTCTTTAGAAAATTCTCAAAATTCTAGAGCTTAGTCCCTTCTCCTGACCCTTCCAATGCCATGGCAATTCTAAGCGAGGAAAGCCCTGAATTAAAGTCAATAATGAAGATACCTGGGGACAAAGATGGCTTTCACTACTGTTTTTTCACTAGGTGTGAGCAGTTGGTAAGACAGCAATGTATCACATCCAGGACATCACCATTATTACAGGAATAGTTACCCCATGAGCAGCTCTTAAAGATAAGACATGTCTGTGAGAGGTGGGCTGCAGAAAACCCTTTGGGAAAATTTGCTCTGGAAATTCAGAGTTGAAGATTTGTCTGCAAGGACAGTCTAAGGAAATGGTGACAGGGTAAGGGGAAATCAGGGCCAAGAGAACAAGGCTACCACACTGGGAGTTTTCTCTACACCCAGACTGAGAAAAGGGCTTTTGATTTTGGCCCAAACATTGAACTGCCTCTTTGTCCATGGGGGAATTCTAGGAAGTGCATGAAAACACTACAGCAAGACTTTCAAACTTACCCACAGACACATTTTATCTGAGATGCCTGGTGGCTTTTAAAATTTATAAGCCACTACATAAAAGTTAAGAGATTCCACATGAAATAGGAAGATAAACAACATGGATCCCTCATTCCCATAAGGCATTGATAGAGGAGAGGGGAGCAGTGGTTGCCCCTTGAGACAGGGCTTGAGCTTTCCATGCCCCCAGGGGCCCTGCTGCTCACTCATGGCACTGGCTGGGCCCTATGGACCTGTGGCATGTGACCTGGGCTCTGAAGGAGCCTCCTGCCTGTCTTGCTTATAGTTGGCATCACATTCTTCCTCATATCGTAGATTCCTGCATGCTCAACTCATCTCCCAACAGGCCTCCAAGCCCAATAAACGCTCTTGAAATGAATGAATCAGTATTTCAAGGTGCTAACTTGAAGCCACAGTATAGGTTTATGAAATTTTTATTTTGTAAATTATTCAGGAGCTTGGTTTGCTACCAAATGTTGAAAAGAAGCTTTGCTAAATAAAATTATTCGTAAGATACTGAAACAGGAAAACTAAGGTAATCTCCTTCCTGGATTTCTTTTAGTAAGAGGCAGGTCTCTTTCAGGTTAAGTTCAAAATATTCCTGCTGAAGGTGGGAAATGGGCCCCTTTAGATGGTGAGAGCTCTATTTCAGCCTTAGGATCTCATCATTAGCTGTGATGCAGAGGAGAATTGGACGAACAGCAGCGTGGTGCTGAGGAAAGTGTGTGGATGTGGGAATCAGACGAATCCAGTGCTAATCCCTGGTTTCGTTTCTTCCCACCTTTTGTGACCTTGGGCTTGTGGTTTACCTCCTTGGGCCTCAGCAGAGGATTATAGACCTCTTTTAAATTGTTAAAAACAATTGTTTTCCTAAATAGTACCTGGACATGGTACAAAATTCAAAAGGTACAAAGTGAAAAGTTTCTTTCCCTCTAGTCACCAAAGTCACTCAGCTTCCCTCACAGGAGGCAGGCTATCTTACTAGGTTCTTATGCATCCTTCTGAAGATAGCCTATAAATATATAATATATGTGAATATAAAAATACATGTAAATTCATAAATGCTTACTCTTTATACAAACATTCACACTGTTCCATATCTTCTTTTTTCATTTAACATACCTTAAAGATCTTTCTACATCAGAAAAAGCGGCCTCATTTTTAATGGCTGCACAATATTCTATTGATGGATGTGCCATAAAGTGATTTAACCAGTCTATTATTGGCACTCATTCATAGTAGACTTCCAAGATTTGCTATTTCAACACTGCTAAAATGGATATGATACACGTGCACTTCTTGTAGGTATGCATGTATCTGTGGGCTAAATCCCAGTATGTGGAACTGTTGTGTTATGGGGTAAGCACAGTTATGTTTTGATAGGTAGTGCCAAACTGCCCTCCATAGATGTTATAATTCAAACTAACATAGATTTATTAAAGCTCTACTGAAAACCTAACCCATCTATTTCCCTATGATAGGCATGTTATTTATTGGACTTTGTTTTTCTCTCTGCCTTTATTTACTGACCTGATATGTCAATCTGTGAAATGGAAATAGTTATAACTTTGTTATATTTATGGGAGGCCATTGTTTTGGAGTAACTCCTCCTTCAGGCCCCAACAAACAAGACAAAACCAGAGTGCAGTCACTTGTGCTAGGTGCTACATAGTCAAACTAAAGTTTAAAATGAGCCAGTTTTCCAAAAAACAGGAGATTCACATCAGCCAATCAAAAGGGGCCCAGTCTGTCTGAGCCAGCATGATAAGGAGGTCCCCACTGTTTTAATTCTATAAGGAAAACAGCTTTGTAATGACCAGTTTGCTTTTTGTTCCTCATTTTAGCTTTCATCAGTCTTTTCTGCCTATGAAGCCCACCTCTTCTGCCCAGCTCACTGGAGCACCTTTCTAAATCTGAGATAAGCTGTTTCTGATTAATGAATGACTAAAAAAGCCAACTATGCCTTAAATTTTTTTTCTTTTTGAATGATTAGTAATTCATTTTTATACTTCTGTCCTTACAATATGTTCCCGCCAATTATACCTTTAAACTAAACTTGCTGGGATTTTGTTTTTGGACAAATTCCAGAGTTGTTTTGAGGATTTATTTAGAGTGTTTGACACTGATCATCTCTTGTCTACGTCAGAGGTTTCTGAGGACTCTCCTTTGGCCGTCTGTAACAGGTACCTGGCAGGATCTGACAGCAGCGGCAAAGTGCCCACGCTATAGAATGGCTTCCACATTGAGGCAATACATTCTTAAGAATATATTGTTCTGAGCTGAGTGAGAGATGTCTTCCTAACACTTCTGTTTGAATGCTTTACATAGTTAAATGCCAATCAATTAAGAATTTCATTTAGGCAAAAGGAAAAAGAAGAAAGCAGTCATTCTTTGTAATAAAAATATTGACTTATCACCAGTGAAGTGGAAAATGACTTTGTTTTTCAATCGCTAAAGAACAAATGCCATTATAAATTGAAAAACAGCCTATTGGATGGTCTTATATTATTATTGCAATGACTCTTAATCTCTTCCTTGTCATCAAACCATGCCACCTCCCCTCCTTTTTTTTTTGAAATGGGGTCTCACTCTGTCACCCAGGCTGGAGTGCAGTGGCACGATCATAGCTCATTGCAGCCTCAACCTCCCAGGTTCAGGCAATCCTCCCACTTCAGCCTCCTGAGTAGCTGGGACTTTCATGTGCATCCATGTGAAGAGACCACCAAACAGGCTTTGTGAGAGCAATAAAGCTTTTAATCACCTGAGTGCAGGCAGGCTGAGTCCAAAAAGAGAGTCAGCGAAGGGAGATAGGGGTGGGGCCGTTTTATAAGATTAGGGCAGGTAAAGGAAAATTACAGTCAAAGGGGATTTGTTCTCTGGCGGGCAGAAGTGGGGGTCGCAAGGTGCTCAGTGGGGGTGCTTTTTGAGCCAGGATGAGCCAGGAAAAGGACTTTCACAAGGTTATGTCATCACTTAAGGCAAAGACTGGACATTTTCACTTCTTTTGTGGTGGAATATCATCAGTTAAGGCAAGGACCGGCCATTTACACTTCTTTTGTGGTGGAATGTCATCAGTTAAGGTGGGGCAGGGCATATTCACTTCTTTTGTGATTCTTCAGTTACTTCAGGCCATCTGGGCATATACGTGCAAGTCACAGGGGATGTGATGGCTTGGCTTGGGCTCAGAGGCCTGACATTCCTGCCTTCTTATATTAATAAGAAAAATAAAACAGTGTTGAAGTGTTGGGGCAGTGAAAATTTTTGGGGGGTGGTATGGAGAGAGAGAATGGACGATGTTTCTCAGGGCTGCTTCAGGCAGGATTAGGGGTGACGTGGGAACTAGAGTGGGAGAAATTAAGCTGAAGGGAGATCTTGTGGTAAGGGGTGATATTGTGGGGTTGTTAGAAGAAACATTTGTCGTATAGGATGATTGGTGATGGCCTGGATACGGTTTTGAATGAATTGAGAAACTAAACGGAAGATACAAGGTCCGAATAAAAGGAGAAAAATGAGTATTAAAGGAGTAAGAATTGGGAGGACCCAGGACATCCAATTAGAGAGTGCCCAAGGGGGTTCAGCGTAATTACTTGCTTGGTTGGCAAGTTTTTGGGCTCTATCCTTGAATTTTTTTATGTTGTCATACACCAGGCCAGATTGATTTAGGTAAAAACAACACTCTTCATTTAAGAAAATACGGAGTCCTCCTTTCTCAGCAGTGAGTAAGTCAAGGCCTCAGCGGTTTTGGAGGACAATTGCAGCTAAAGAGTCAAATTGGGCCTGGAGGACTGATAAAGTTTGTGATATGTCTGTAATGCTAGCAGAGAAGTCATTAGACAGGCTACGGAAGGTCGTGACAGAGGTTGAAATGCCTGCTATTCCAGTACCGAGAACAATAGTGGAGGCAGAAAGTCCTAAACTGACCATCAAGGGAACTAGTGGAATAACTCTTTTTTGTCATGTCGGTGTCATGAGGGGAACAGGGAGCTCTTCGGTCCCATTTGCAAATTGAATTTTGGGGGTAAGGAAAACTAGTGTGCATGTGCCTGTCCAATTAGCAGGTAGACACATGTAGGTAGAGGATCCACAGAGGAAGAAGAGACCTTGTGTGAGGCAAAACTGGAGATGTAAACTAAAAAGGTGAGAAGGAGGGCTGAAAGGGGTGTCTTGTACCCAGACTCCTAGGGATCCAGCTAGGGCAGCAGCTGTCAGAGATTGTAATGGGGACTGATGGGGTCACTGCATAGAGGAGGAGGTTCGATTTTCATGGTGTATGAGAAAACGTTGAGTATCTACGAGCAACCTTTCACTGTTTTTTTCGGGGCTGGGTATAAGTAAACAAGAAGAGGGCCTGGGAGGAGAGTCTGACGAGCAAGGGGAAGATAGGCAAGGATGGAGTGAAATACAGGGTAAGTGTCTTCCTAAGCAATAATTACTGCTAACATTTTTAAGTTTGTCAGTATTGATAGAGGGCTTGTCTGTAATATGGAGCTGAAAGGCTCCAATTGTTTCAGTGATGTGTGTAGTTGGGCTTCAGAGATGAAGAGTAAAGGAACATCGAGAAGGTGAAAGGTTACCCAGGGGAATTCCAGTGGGTCTTTGCTGAGAGATACATAAAGGAGCGGCCACAGGAATACTAGTTTGTGTTGTGAAAGGTCCAAATATGGGGAGAGTAGAGTAATATAAGGAGAAAGGTTTTTTAAATAAGTGCGGAGGAGGGCGGCAGCTTGCTGATGTGAAATGTCTGGGGAGGTCTTGCTGGACCTGTCTAGAAAGTAAATGAGTTCTTCAGGAGGGTAAAGGTGAGGGCTGTTAAAGGAAGTTCAGAGGTGTAAGGAGACAGGAGATGTTGCCCAGTCTGTCTGTAAGGCGGGGACAGCTATGTAGGCACTGGAAGAAAGGGAAATGCAAAGCCAACTGCTGTTCGCCAGCAGTTGTGGCTAGGAGAGAATGGGTAAGGTTGATAGTGTGGTGGAGATAGCTGGGGAGAGGTAGAGGGTGGCATAAGAATGGGAATGAGAATAAGAGTGAGTATAAAAGTAAAGAATAGAAATTCATCAGGGTGGAAATATTGGAGGGTGCCCTGCCGGCAAAGATCATCTATCCACTCTAAGAGGGAATTAAGAGTGGTGGTTTGGGGATAACACCAAGAGATATCAGCTGTGATGGCTTGGAGAAACAGTGTAAACTGGCAGTGTAAACAAGAGCAGGGCATGTATGAGTAGTTGAGAATGGTGAATAGGAGTGTGACTAGATAGAAGAAAGTAGGGATGACAAGTTTTTTTGGGGCGCAGTCTAAGTTGGTCTGGTGTCTGGAATGAGACTGGGGCCTAATAAAAAGGAGCGTCTATACGGGAGCTTAAATGGGCTGTACCTTGTAGCATTCTGAGGACAGGCCTGAATTCTGAGAAGGGAAAGTGGTAAAAGTATTGTCCAGTCCTTTTTAAGTTGGCGGCTGAGCTTGGTGAGGTGTGTTTTTAAAAGACCTTTAGTCCATTCTACTTTTCTTGAAGACGGAGGACCATAAGGGATATAAAGGTTTCACTGAATACTGAGAGCCTGAAAAAATGCTTGGCTGATTTGACTAATAAAGGCTGGTCCGTTATCAGACTGTATAGAGGTGGGAAGGCTAAACTGAGGAATTATGTCTGACAGAAGGGAAGAAATGACTGCGGTGGCCTTCTCAGACCCTGTAGGAAAGGCCTGTACCTATCCAGTGAAAGTGTCTACCTAGACTAAGAGGTATTTTAGTTATCTGACTCAGGGCATGTTGAGTAAAGCTAATTTGCCAGTCCTGGGTGGGGGCAAATTCTCAAGCTTGATGTGTAGGGAAGGCAGGGGGCCTGAATAATCCCTGAGGAGTAGTAGAATAGCAGATGGAACACTGAGAAGTTGTTTCCTTGAGGATAGATTTCCATGATGGAAAGGAAATGAGAGGTTCTGAGAGGCAGGCTAGTGGCTTGTACTATAGCATAGCCTGCCTTTGCTGGAGTGTGGCGATTGGGTCTGGTGGAACTGCCATCAATAAATCAAGCGTGATCAGGGTGAGGAACAGGAAAGAAGGAAATATGGGGAAATGGGGTGAATGTCAGGTGGATCAGAGAGATACAATCATGGGGGTCAGGTGTGGTATCAGGAATAATGTGGGAGGCCAGATTGAAGTCCAGGCCAGGAACAATGATAACTGTGGGACTTAACAAAGAGTGAGTACAGCTGAAGGAGCCGGGGAGCAGAAAGTATATGCATCAGCTATGAGGAAGAAAATAGATTTTGGAAGTTTTGAGAAATGTAGAGAGTGAGTTGAGCATAGTTTGTGATTTTTAGGGCCTCTAAAAGTATTAAAGCAGCGGCAGCTGCTGCACACATACGTGAGGGCTAGGCTAAAACAGTAAGGTCAAGTTGTTTGGACAGAAAGGCTACAGGGTGCGTACCTGGCTCTTGTGTAAGAATTCTGACCACACTAACCATGCCTAGGAAGGAAAGGAGTTGTTGTTTTGTAAGGGATTGAGGTTTGGGAGATTAATCGGACACAATCAGCAGGGAGAGCATGTGTTTTTATGAGAATTATGCCGAGATAGGTAACAGATGAGGATGAAATTTGGGCTTGGCTGAAGTAATGGGGGCTATCTGTGAAGCCTTGCGGCAGTACAGCCCAGGTAATTTGCTGAGCCTAATGGGTGTCAGGGTCAGTCTAAGTGAAAGCGAAGAGAGGCTGGGATGAAGGGTGCAAAGGAATAGTAAAGAAAGCATGTTTGAGATCCAGAACAGAATAATGGGTTGCAGAGGGAGGTACTGAGGATAGGAGAGTATATGGGTTTGGCACCACGGGGTGGATAGGCAAAACAATTTGATTGATAAGGCACAGATTCTGAACTAACCTGTAAGCCTTGGCTGGTTTTAGGACAGGTGAAATGGGGGAATTGTAAGGGGAGTTTATAGGCTTTAAAAGGCCATGCTGTATCAGGCAAGTGATAACAGGCTTTAATCTTTTTAAAGCGTGCTGTGGGATGGGATATTGGCATTGAGGGGGGTAAGGGTGATTAGGTTTTAATGAGATGGTAAGGGGTGCATGATCGGTCGCCAAGGAGGGAGTAGAGGTATCTTATACTTGTGGGTTAAGATGGGGTGATATGAGAGGAGGATGCAAAGGAGGCCTTGAACTGGGGAAAAGGGCAGCAATGACGTGTGGCTGTAGTCTGGGAACAGTCAGGGAAGCAGATAATTTAGTTAAAATGTCTTAGCCTAATAAGGGAACTGGGCAGGTGGGGATAACTAAAAAGGAGTGCTTAAAAGAATATTGTCTAAGTTGGCACCAGAGTTGGGGAGTTTTAACAGGTTTAAAAGCCTGGCCGTCAATACCTACAGCAGTTATGGAAGCAAGGGAAACAGGCCTTTGAAAATAAGGTAATGTGGGGTGGGTAGCCTCCGTATTGATTAAGAAGGGGACGGACTTACTTTCCACTGTGAGAGTTACCCAGAGTGTCTGTAATGGTCTTGTAGGCTTCAGGCGATCTGGCAGTGTCAGTCTTCAGCTGCTAAGCTGAGATCTGGGAAGCAGTTAGTCAAAGAGCCTTGGGCCAGAGTTCCAGAGGCTCTGGGAGTGGCTGCCAGGTGAGCTGAACAGTCTGATTTTCAGTGGGGTCCTGCACAGATGGGACATGGCTTAGGAGGAATCCTGGGCTCTGGGCATTCCTTAGCCCAGTGGCCAGATTTCCAGCACTTGTAGCAAGCTCCTGGGGGAGGAGGTTCTGGAGGAACCCCTGGCCACTGCGGTTCAGGCGTTTGGAGTTCTTGTGTGCTGGAGATGTGGCTGGGGTTTGTCTCACAGTGGAGGCAAGGAATTGCAACTCAGAAATATGTTGCTACTTGGATGCCTCTATTATTGTACACCTTGAAGGTGAGGTTAATTAAGTCGTGTTGTGGGGTTTCAGGGCTGGAATTTAATTTTTCGAGTTTTATTTAATGTTAGGAGCAGATTGGGTAATAAAATGTATATTGAGAATAAGACGGCCTTTTGACATTTTAGGGTTTAGGGCTGTAAAGCGTCTCAGGGATGCTGCCGAATGAGCCATGAACTGGGCTGGGTTTTTCATATTTGATGAAAGAGCCTAAATGCTCACGATTTGGGAGAGGTCTGATAAGGAAAAAGGAGCATTAACCTTGACTATGCCTTTAGCTTCAGCCACCTTTTTAAGAGGAAATTGCTGGGCAGGTGGGGGAGGGCTACTCACGGAATGAAACTGTAAACCGGACCAGGTGTGAGGAGGGGAGGTGATAAAAAGATTATAGGGTGGAGGAGCGGAGGTTGAGGAAGAATTGGGACCTAGCTCGGCCTGGCGAGGAGCAGCCTGGGGAGGAGGGGAAAGGTCAGATGGGTCTGTAGAAAAGGAAGATTAGAAAGACTCAGTGAAGCTTGGGGTTGGGATTGAGGGGACAGGCGGGAGGGAAAAAAGGAAGATTTGGGACGAGTTGCACGGGCACAGAGACTAGGAAGGGACCAATGTGTAAAAGAATGTCTGGTCGTCAGGCACCTCAGACCGTTTGCCTATTTTATGACAAGAATTATTTAGATCTTGCAGGATGGAAAAATTGAAAGTGCCGTTTTCTGGCTATTTGGAACTACTGTCGAGTTTGTATTGGGGTCAAGTGGCATTGCAGAAGAAAATAAGGCATTTAGGTTTTAGGTCAGGTGTGAGTTGAAGAGCTTTTAAGTTTTTGAGAACACAGGCTAAGGGAGAAGAAGGAGGAATGGAAGGTGGAAGGTTGCCCATAGTGAAGGAAGCAAGTCCAGAGAGAAGGGAGAGTAGAGACATGGAGGGAAGGGATTCGGGGGTTCTTACCCTCCAGAAAAGCAGGAAAGGGGTCAGGGCACAGAGATACGAGGTCAGGGCATGGAAATAAAGGATAGGGGTGCAGAGATATAAGAGGTTGGGGCATGGAAATAAGGGATCAGGGTGCAGAGATATAAGTAGTCGGGGCATGGAAATAAGGGATTGGGGTGCAGAGATATGAGGTTGGGGTACTTGCCACTCTCCCAGAAAAGCAGAACTTGCCACTAAGGGTGAAGGAGAAGGGGTTGGGGGTTTCTTGCCCCCCAGAAAGGAGGAGAAGGGGTAGAGACACAGAGAAGGGGTTGGGGTACTTCCCCCTCCCCTAGAAAAGCAGGACTTGCCACTAAGAGTGAAGGAGAAGGGGTCAGGGGTTTCTTGCCCCCCAGAAAGGCAGAGAAGGGGTAGAGACATGGAGAGAAGGGGTTGGGGTACTTGCCCCTCCCCCAGAAAAGCAGGACTTGCCGCTAAGAGTGAAAGACCAAGGCAGGCATCCCTGTGTGGTCTGACACCTCTGAAACCTGAGTGAATAACTAGAGAGGCATCCCTGCAATGATTAAACACCAAGAGAAGGCTGCCTTCCCTAGTCCATGACCGGCGCCGGAGTTTTGGGTCCAAGGATAAAATGTGTCTCCTTTGTCTCTACCAGAAAATGAAAGGAATTGAAATTAAGAGAAGGGAGAGATTGAAGTGTGGCACCAAGATTGAAAGGAGAAAGAGGTTGAGGGATAGTGAGGGAGGTTGGAGAAGAGAGTAAAAAGAGGCTGCTTACCAGATTTGAAATTGGTGAGATGTTTCTTGGGCTGGTCGGTCTGCGGACCTGAGGTCATAGGTGAATCTTTCTCATGGAGCAAAGAGCAGGAGGACAGGGGATTGATCTCTCAAGGGAGGCCCCCCGATCTGAGTCACGGCACCAAATTTCATGCGTGTCCGTGTGAAGAGACCACGAAACAGGCTTTGTGTGAGCAATAAAGCTTTCAATCATCTGGGTGCAGGCAGGCTGAGTCCGAAAAGAGAGTCAGCGAAGGGAGATAGGGGTGGGGCCGTTTTATAAGATTTGGGCAGGTAAAGGAAAATTACAGTCAAAGGGGATTTGTTCTTTGGCGGGCAGGAGTGGGGGTCGCAAGGTGCTCAGTGGGGGTGATTTTTGAGCCAGGATGAGCCAGGAAAAGGACTTTCACAAGGTAATGTCATCACATAAGGCAAGGACCCGCCATTTTCACTTCTTTTGTGGTGGAATATCATCAGTTAAGGCAAGGACCAGCCATTTACACTTCTTTTGTGGTGGAATGTCATCAGTTAAGGTGGGGCAGGGCATATTCACTTCTTTTGTGATTCTTCAGTTACTTCAGGCCATCTGGGCATATACATGTAAGTCACAGGGGATGTGATGGCTTGGCTTGGACTCAGAGGCCTGACAGGGACCACACGTGTGCAGTGCACCACTATGCCCAGCTAAGTTTTTTATTTTTAGAGACGAGGTTTGCTATGTTGCCCAGGCTTGTTTCCAACTCCTGAGCTCAAGTGATCTTCCCACCTTGGTCTCCCAACGTGCTCGGATTACAGGCATGAACCATCTTGCCCAGACCCATCCCTTGTTTTTTTACCTATCAGATGAACTCTCTTTGTTCCCCATGTAGAGGCAGAGACTATTACCAGTGACATTCCAGTTCATTTCCTTTTTCAAATTCTTTTCTGGATTGCTTCTCTTCCTTTTAACAAAGAGGGAAAGTACAGTTCAGTGGGGGCAGGAGACATGGGCCTAGCAGGCAGTCTGTGCCACCAGGCTGTCAGCATTAGGACTAAGTCTCTCACAGACATTCTAGAGCTGCCCCTGGGGCTTTGCCTGCTTTGGCCTCAGGACAAGTGATCAGTGAAGAGCATTCCAAGGAGTTGAGTCTACCCTTCAAGATTCCTTACATATTTTCTGGAAAAAAAAAAAAAAAACACTTGGTGCCTTCAGATTCATATGCAAAGGACCTCTGTGCAAATGAAAAGCCTAGTAATTATCAAGAATACGTATCATAATTTTACAATTTAAAATATTTACTTAGCACTTTAAAGTCTTGAAACAAATTATTGCCTTAGGTTGTGTTTTTTAAAATAGTGAAATAGTTTAGGTATTTAAGTTCTAGCCCTCGCAGTAAGCTATTTTTATATTGATTTTTATCTGTGCCAAATATGGTGCTAATAGCAAGCAATGGGGGAGAGTATTATGTGTCTATTGACACTGCATGAAGTATAAGTTCACCATTATTGTGTCTACACTTATAGCATGGATTTGCCCAGTGCTGCTGAAAGGATGCCCAAGGATGTCTTTCTCCTGAATGAAGTCTCAGTGGCATGGCAGTTTGGGAAACGTTGGCCTAAAACAGAAAACGTCTTCCCAGGTGTGGGGGTGTTAGAGCAGCAGAACAATGCAAGGAACTTCAAAACTCCTGATGCCCAGACTATACCCTAGTTAGACCAACTGAGTCAGAATTCCCCGGGGTGGGCGAGACTTGAGTGAGAACCTACTGTTAGGAGAAAATATGTCTTCTCTCATTGTTTCCATTTCCCCCTTGTTCTGGGCTCTGTGGGCAGGAGAGTGGGAAAAATAAAAAAGAGGATGAAGTGGGGCCTTTAAAATGTCTTGGAGAATAACCACCACCACCACAGGAAGTGCAGGGACCCCGCTCCCCCTAGTGGCGGTGTGCCGGAGGCAGCTGGAAGTGCCTGGCCGGCCTGGCCGGCCTGGGCGTTATGTGTGTTAGGAAAGCCGTGTGTCTTCTGCAGGCTTCCTTTTTATAAAATGTGTATTCTATTTATGCGTATTTATTTAAATTTTATTATGTTTACCTATTTATTTATTGTTTATAAATATATGCTTTCTGTATTTTTGTATTTTATGTTTATATAAAGGTGTCCACTGTGGAGCTCTCTAACATGTTCTGAGTCTAGAGGAGGCAGGTGAAGGTGAAGGCCACACGGTGACCCCAGATGCTGTTCCCTGGGTGGGATCTGATGCCTTATTCTGAAAACGTGGGGCACAGTGGCCTGGCTTTCAGAGCAGATCTGACCTTGGAGTGGATTGGTCCCCATCCCTTCAACACACACATATACACATTTCCCCAGTTCCTGCAGAGCAAAGATATGCCTGCTCCTTGATAAAACTTCAGCATTGGTCCTGGTCATTTTTCCCATAAGACTTCAACCAGGATCCTTTTGTGTCTTTCTCCTTGTGTTTAAAGCCAACCACATGTATTTTGACATGTGGACCTTTTGTACAAAAAGCCGTGATATCCTTTATCCCCACTTGGGTAATATTTCCTGCCCTGGGATGCGACGTGGGGTAGAGGGAGGGTGAATTCTGTCCTGAGGCTGCTGTGCCATATTCTGCTTGTTTGATTGGGCTTCTGCAACCTCTACTAAGAAATATACACTGCAAAGCAAGGTGAAGGGCAACAGCCCTGAGCACCACTTCTAGCAGGTGCGGAGAGAGATTCACAGCACCTGGCCCATGTGTCTTCCCACTCAGATACCAGTGGAGGCCCACGCACCATATGTCTGGATACCTAAAAGTTTTACATCAAGCTAAGAGACTGATGAATTAATATGTTCCGTCCTCCTACTTTTCATAAATATGTGTAAAGATCTGAGAGGCCAAGCTCAGCTGCAGCCTTCTTGGACTTCTCAGAGTTCTCCCCAGAATGTGATGACCTGGGACAGCTAGGGATCCCCACTGGCAGCCCACTCACCCTCTTTTCCCATCCCCTGGCTTCATCCGACCCCACAAGGAGCCTCCTGCACATAGGCACACTGGCTTCCCTATCCAAGCCCTGTCCACACGAGCTTGTAAACAGCCTCCTTTTGGGGACCACAGGGGCCTAGACAGATTTATAATGGTAGCATAGTCTCCATGTGGAAGATGGAGATGTAGAAGAGTCCTGTGTAGGTCTGGAGACATGTGAGCAAAGAATTACTGCATCTCAAGTATCTGGAATGTGGAGAGAAGGGAAGAAATGGGTTCTGGATGGGCTCATTCCATTTTCATCGCTATACAAAGAAGGATTTTTAAATTTTTTATGTTGGAATAATTTTAGATTTACAGAAAAGTCACACATATAAGCAAAGAGAATTCCTGTATACCCCTCACCCAGTTTCTCCCATTGTTAATGTCTTACATTACCATGGTACATTTGTCAAAACTAAGAGCCCATTATTGGTACGTAACTGTTATCTAAATTCCAGACATTCTTCAGACTTCACCAGTGTTCCTATTGATGACCTGTTACTTACTATTCTAGTATCTGATCCAGGACACTACATTGCATTTAGTTGCCATGTCTCTCCATTTGCTTCTGGCCTATGACAGTCTTCAGTCTTTCCTTGTTTTTTGTGACCCTGACAGGCTTTAGGAATGCTGTCCAGGTATCCTGTAGGATGTCTCCTAATCTGGGTTTGTCTGATTATTTTGCTTATGATTAGACTGGGGTTATGGAAGGAACACTGCAGAGGTGAAGTGCCCTGTTTCTGTCCATGCGGGCTGCTGTGCTTTCCATCTCAGGTACAATGGTTCCCTGCAGAGGTCCAAACTCAAATGTCTTCAAAAGCCAGGCAGGTAATACAACTGAGGTGAAGAAGTGGAAAAGAGCAGGATCAAATGACAGAAAGAAACAAAGGGCAGTGGCAAAGCTGAGAGTGCTTCCTCAACTGAAAGGGCTGCAAATTCATGTTTTGTCTACAATACTCTGCTGGTCAAATCAAACATTCTGTAGGTTGGCTCAGGCTCCTCCACGGTAAAAACTTGGTGCCATACTCTTAAGCATATACGGTCATACAGACAAGACCGAGGCTAGTCTTTCTGGGCTATACTAACCCTTTTCTCATGTCAGCAGCTTTTGTCCTGAATGTAGCTCCTTGGTAACATTTCCTTGGAAAGATCTGAAAAAGAGCCTTCACTTGGAAGCCAAGAGCTCTTGATCCCAGCAGGTTACTCACTTGTCAGTGTCCATGTAGCTGACTCACCTTAGGCCTAGATGTTAGAATCCATTTTCTTACCAACCTCACACAGTTATAGTGCAACATGAGTCATTTGTTGCACTTCTATGAATGAGTTATTGAGCATTTCTATACATGCATTTATATATCAATCAAGATAGGCTAGGTTACGCTGCGGTAAAAAAACAACCCCCAGGTCTCAGTGGCTTAACATTACAAGTTTCACTAGGATGAACATACATTGTCAAATTGTGCCTGTTGTCCCTTTTACCCTCAAAATGATCCAGTTTGAAATCCTAGTTCTCCATGATACTACATGTCCAAAGCAAGTCAGAAGAAGGGTATGAAGACTCAAGCTGGCAGAGGCATCATCTTGACACGTTTTCACCAACATTTGGCAGTGGGAAGGGAGTGTAGCAAATTGCACATCAACTTTTAAGGCTTCCACTTACAAACATTAACTGTAGCTAATCACATGGCCAAATCTAGCTTCCAAGGAGGAAGTGAAGTTCAATGTCTAGAAAATGAAAGCCAGAAATAATTTGTGAATAATACTAACAACTGGATCGGTTAGGATCAAATGTTTCATGTGAAAATCATCAAAACCATAATGGTATTTGGCAACTGTCAATGAAGATGATGTTTATAAATGCTTCAGCTGATTTTGTCAATGTGGAGATTAATTTTATATGTCTACTTGACTGGCTTAAGGGATGTCCAGGTGGCAGGTAAAACAATATTTCTGGGTGTATCTCTGAGGATGTTTCCAGAAAAGATTAGCATTCGAATCAGTGGACTAAGTAAAGAAGCTCTGCCCTCACCAATGTGAGTGGGTGCCATTCAATAGTTTGAAGGCCTGAACAGAATAAAAAGGCAGAGGAAGAGTGAATTCATTTCCTCTGTTTGAGGTGGGACCTTCGTTTTCTCCTGTCCTCAGGCATCAGCGCTCTTGGTTCTCAGGCCTTCAGACTTGGGCTAAATCATATCACCAGCTTTTCTGGTTCTCCAGCTTGCAGATGGCAGATCATGGGACCTCTTGGCCTCCATAACCGTGCGAGCCAATTTGCATAATGAGTCCCTCTCATCTCTCTCTGTCTCTGTCATCTAATTATCTGTCTCTTAGTGGTTCTGTTTGTCTGGAGTACCCTGACTAATACACTTGGGAATATTTATCGTGTTACCCTTATAGGCCATGTTTCCTACTCCCAACACACGCACTGGATATTATGAAAAGGAGGTGCTCTGGGACTCCATCTCTTTGTGGCCTTGAGTTGGCTTCTGCTCATCTCTGCCCATATCTCACTCATGATACCACGCTGCATTCAAATTCCTTCACCATAGTTCTTTCTATTTCTTCATCCATTTTTGGTTATTCTTGATTTTTAAGAGTGGTAAGGCATTTCACTTATACCCTTTCTCTCTGGCCATAACTTGTCAGATAGAAAAATATCTTTTTCAAATTTATCCCAGCCATGGAAACTCCTGTTCTTTAAGATTTTTCTCAATGCAGTATAGACAGTTTACACCAAGCATTTTACAAAATATGTTTTAATAGGCCGGGTGTGATGGCTCACACCTGTAATCCCAGCACTGTGGGAGGCCGAGGTGGGTGGATCACAAGGTCAGGAGATCAAGACCAGTCTGAACAACATGGTGAAACCCTGTCTCTACTAAAATTACAAAAATTAGCCAGGTGTGGTAGTGCACACCTGTAATCCCAGCTACTCAGGAGGCTGAGGCAGGAAAATTGCTTGAAACCAGGAGGCGGAGGTTGCAGTGAGCTGAGATTGTGCCACTGCACTCCAGCCTGGGTGACAGAGACTCCGTCTCAAATATATATATATATATATATATATATATATATATATATATGTTTTAATAAACAACTATTTTGTTTTGTTTTGACACGGAGTCTCGCTCTGTCACCCAGGCTGGAGTGCAGTGGCACGATCTCAGCTCACTGCAAGCTCTGCCTCCCAGTTCACGCCATTCTCTTGCCTCAGCCTCCTGAGTAGCTGGGACTACAGGCGCCTGCCACCACGCCCAGCTAATTTTTTGTATTTTTTTTTTTTAGTAGAGATGGGGTTTCACCATGTTAGCCAGGATGGTTTTGATCTCCTGACCTCGTGATCCGCCCACCTCAGCATCCCAAAGTGCTGGGATTACAGGCATGAGCCATTGCGCCCAGCCAATAAACAACTGTTTTAATGAACAGTTTGTTCAGAAAACAAATGCAATATTTAGACCACAAGAAGTATGAATCCTGCTACTGCCCTCTGCTTTAGTTAGGCCACATCTGGAGCCCTCTGGTCAGCTGAAGCCCCACACTTAAAAGGTGGCCTTTCAGTGGATCAGGAGCGGAATGTCTAATATAAAGAAGTATGTTGGAAATGTGATTTAAATAGGAATGGGAATATGTAGGAGGCTGGCAGTGTGTGCCAAAGTAAGTACAGTGCAAACGTGATAGGAGTTAACATGGTCCCTGTCACTAAATATTTGAAGTGCCCAATGGAGTGTTGTCCTGGTATAATACTTTAGGGTGGTGCCACAACTTCTGTGGTTGTTACTTCCATTTATCTTAATTGCTGTTGTTTCTTTGAAGGATTTCTGATTTTATTCAATTGGCTCATTGTTCAATGTATAAAAAGAAAGGATTTTTTAAAAGGCACTGGAAAATTTCCTTTACTACTGATTTCAGAAACTGATGATGAATGGCTTTTGCAGAAAATTGATATGAGCTGTTTATTAAAAAAAATCCCAGGACACGCACTTTGCCTGACAAATCACCATAATCTGACCCACAAGATCTGATTTTCAAAACCTTGAGGAATATTTTACATCACTGATGAGAAAAGAAGAACTTATTCATTTATGACCTCCAACATCTATGTTAATTGACGGTTATATCCTTTTGCAGTTAATATATCTATTAATATACTCACAAGCATGGAAACTGGCCAAAACAGTTAGGCAATGAATGCTATTGCAAACATAGACATATATTTTTCTCAGTAGGGTTGTCCATTTCCTGCCATGGTTTAAATGCCAAGTGTGTAAATAAAAGGACAACAGGATGACATAAAAAGCGTATCCTATAGTGAAAGACCTTTCTAGGCAATAATAAGCAATCTTATATACCTTGGTCTCCTAAACTTGGAAGGCAGTCAGTTTGTTTCTTAGAATCCTAAGCAACTATAAAATGAAATAAAATTTTAATGCCCTGTTAGAAGGGATGAATAAAAATCCATAAATAAGAAAATAAAAAAATCTTTACTTTGCACATTTGCCATTTCCCTATCCAGTCAGCTCTTTTTTATCAGGCCTAGTGTTTGAAGCAAAATGAAATTGATTCATCTGCTTTCTCGGCCCCAAATGGTAATGTTATCAAGAAGTGAAATAGAGGACTAGAAATAGAAAAATGGAGAGAAATCATGGACTTTGAAGTCTAGCACTTCTGGCCATTGGATAGCTAAGAGTTGCCTGCAGCATAATACAAGTCAGTCCTCTAAGTCAATCAAATTCCCTCCTACTCTTCATCTTCTGGCTTTTTTTTTTTCCCATGAAGTCTTCTTCTCCTCTGCCTATATATAGGGTACTCCATGTCCTCGTTGGCTCTTTTCTTTTCTCACACACCATTTTCTTTTTTGGTAATGATATATAGGCTTGCACAACTTCTGCTGTCATCCCCAGGCACACAATTCCCCTAAATCAATGCCTTCAATCCAAATGCTCTTTTGAGCTCCAGACCCACATTTCAAACAGTGTTCTGGGTAACTCCATGGTCATTTGATGGACATCATAATATCACTGCCTAGGCAATGGTGCCTGGCATCCAGGAGCCTGGGCTGGATAGACATCATGAGCCTATGGCCAGTGTTCACAGAGCAGGTTCAAACTACACAGATCATTCAAATTGCTCATTATTCTGAAAGAGCTGGGCAGAGAAAGGGGAATCTGAATGGACATAAGACTCTGTGAGAAAAGCAGAAAAAACAGATAAACATCAGAAGGCTTAAAGTGACTATGAGAAGCAAAGCTTATAGGGATTTACCAAGTTGAAGAGGGTAGTTGCGAGGTTCCTACTAGAGCATCTATGCTCTTACATGGAGCTGTTCCTTCACTTCTGTGGGTTGATCAGAGATGGAACACAAATCAAGATGGATCAATGACATTCCACCTAGGACTTTTAGACTTGGAATCAAGAAAGGACAAAAATAATTTCTCTAATAGCTGAATTCTATCAAATGCTTTACTAGAGAAGTAGAGGATAATCAACAGGTAAAGAGGAAAGAAGGATGCAGTTGCTTAAGATGAAAAAAGAGTTCATGGCAGCATTCAAGTTCTCAGTTCCAATTGACTCTGAGACTCTACCGTATTACTGCCCTTTGCAATACTTGGTTTTTCCATGATGTAGCACCTGTGATACCCACCCCCATGCGAAGGTTAGGTCAAGTTCATCCTTGAAACCAAAAGAGTTTTATTGAAGACAATCACCAAATCCTGCTGACACTCTTCAAATGAGTCACA
Organism: Homo sapiens; assembly: GCF_000001405.40. Classification (NCBI taxonomy): domain Eukaryota; kingdom Metazoa; phylum Chordata; class Mammalia; order Primates; family Hominidae; genus Homo; species Homo sapiens. The sequence goes on from NC_000003.12 coordinate 170,697,394, forward strand.
TGTTCCTGTTTTCCTTTACCTCTGCTGAGTGATGTGCCTCTGGGGGCACAAGGATGTCTTGCTTATCTTTATGCCCTTTCCAAGATAGCATAATGCCTAGCACAAAGAAGGTACTAAGAAAGCATGGATTGGGATGGTTTCCCTCTGCACTCTCCAGTGGCCTAGCTATGCTTTTACAGCACAGCGACTCAGAGATCGCCTTGATGTAGGAGCAAGACTGTGACCTAAGAGGCCTGGGCATGATCTTGTCTCCACCATCCAAACCTTTCCATCATCACATTTGTTCATCATTTCTCACTACCCCTTGTCCATGCTAAGACAATGAGGCTATTTCTTCTCCATCAACTCTGTGTTTCTCCCCAATAGACTGTTTTCTTAAACAGAACAGTGAAAATAATTATCAGCCTAGAATGACAGCCTAACATGTCCTTTCAGCATGCACCATGTGAAGAAGACAGGAAGTATGGGGCAAACAGGAAGAGTAGCATAATACAGGCCGGGCAGCATCTTGGGAAAACTGTCAGAAAGACCCACGTCTTATATCAAGGTCTTCTGTCAGCCCCCTGCCTTCTGTTGACCAAAAGGTTGGGTTCGTCCTGTGCTCTTCTCTGACACTCCCTCCTCTTCTATTTCATTCCAGGGCATTCAAGTCCAATGATTTGTTTTAGAAATGCTATCATTTGTTAGCTTAGCTTTTATCTCGGTTGGATGCCTTTCCTGTCTCACTGCTTTCCTTTCAAGGAGGCAGAGCCAACAGTTGACTGAGAGTTTTATTCAACACACCCCTGTTGTTAGATGAAGCTGGAGAAACTTTTATTAACAAGCTTACTCAGGACTTCAGCCATGGTGTAGGGTATGTGTCTGCCACCTGTGTCTGGCACCCTCTGAAGCCTGAATAAGAGATAAAGTGAGTGGAGCTTCTGTTTGGAATACCAGCCTGGTAAATAAACCCCAGCAGGTGGGGCCCAGAGGATGATTTGCTTTTGTCTGTGTGAAGCAATTGCCTTTATCCAGGTTGCTCTAAATGGTGATGCTAGAGACATTATGAGAACTCCGAGATTTTTGTGCTGCTCAGGCCTGTTTCTGGTGATGCAGAGTCCATCTTCCCAGGTGATATAGAATTCCTTATTGGGAATTCTGGGGACATGACCGATGAGGCAGAAACAAAAGGGAAGTCAGAAATACAGAGATGAGATGATGAGAAAGAAGTGCCTGCAAATAATTGGCAAAGAATAGAGCTGTGGGAAATATTGGTAATCATCATCATCAGCATTCTAAAACTTTATATTTGAGTAGTGCTTTATAATTTTTTAAACTTTATTTTTACAAATTAGTTTTGTAATTATTACTCACTCCTTATCACAAAACCTTGAGGGCTAGAACCCCTCAGGATGGGAGAGATCATGATATAAAGGCACTGATAATCTGTATATACTATAGAAGGCTGAGACCATCAGCCCAGGCTTATTATGGGTAAAAGGGTTATAAAGCAAGGGCTAAAAATGAAAACCTAAAACATTATAAGAACTGAAAGAAAATATAGAAAACAACCTTAGTATCTTGATGGAAAAAGAGGGCAGGTTTTGCTTATCAATTCACAAAAATCCAGAAGCCCTACAGGAGAAGACTAACAGATTTGACTACTCCAAGCTTTTTTAAAACATTGTTTTCTATTTTTCATGTATAAGGCTTTCTTCAGATATCTGTGGATCTTTGTCTATTTGCTCATGATTATAAATGGAGAAAAGAGCTGATTAGAAACTGTGTATCTGCATAGAGCTTATTTATTCCGAACATCACTGTTGGATAAACTGGGTAGGCCATTTATTAAGCAATTCCCACTGTCAGTATCTTAGGCCAGAAGTCCTAAGTAAGTCTCACTAGGCTAAAATTAAAATGCTGGCATGGTTTTATTGCTTTCTGGAGGCTGCGGGGGAAAAATTGTTTTCTTATCTTTTCCAGCTTCTAGAGGCTGTCTGTATTCCTTAGCTCCTGGCCCTTTCCTCCATCTTTAAAGCCAGCAACAGCCACTCAAGTCTTTCTCACATTGCGTCACTCTGACATTGGTTCTCCTCCCTCCCTCTTACACATTTAAGAACTCCCGTGACTGCACTGGGCTCACACAGATAATCCAGGTTCATGTCTCTCTCTAAAGTCAGCTGATTAGCCACTTTAACTGCCCTGTGCTATATAATCTACTATATTCACAATTCCAGGGCATAGCATGTAGACATCTTTGGGAGGTTTTTATTCTGCCCACCACAAGTGTATATATACTCATAGGTGTGTAAATATGTATTAGTCTGTTCTCACTCTGCTAATAAAGACATGCCTGAGACTGGGTAATTTATAAGGGAAAGAGGATTAATTGACTCACATTTCAGTATGGCTGGAAAGGCCTCAGGAAACTTACAATCATGGTGGAAGGGGAAACAAACAAGTCCTTTTTCACATGGTGGCAGGAGAGAGAATGAGAGAATAAAGGTGCAAGCCCGTTATAAAACCATCAGATCTCATGAGAACTTACTTACTCACTATCACGAGAATAGCATGGGGGAAACCACACTCATGATTCAATTACCTCCCACTGAGTCCCTCCCACGACACGTAGGGATTATGGGAACTACAATTCAAGATGAGATCTGGGTGGGGACACAGCCAATCCATATTAAAATGCATAGAAAAAGACTGGAAGTACATACGCCTAATTACATAATGAATTAAGTACCTAACAGTGGTTGCCTCTGAAGAGAAGGAATGGGAATTAGGAGAGAATTTAAAAAGAACTGTTATGGTTTACTTGAAAATTATCACATTTTCTTTGGAGTAACCTGAACCAAAGGATTTTAAATGTATTAATAAAAATATCATTAAATTGTAATTATTTACTTATATTTGTCACTTAAACATAATGTTGTACAATCTGTTTTCTTAGCCATTATATTAAATGGGTTCTTTTTTTTGTTTGCTTTGTTTTTTTGAGATGGAGTCTTACTCTGTCACACAGGCTGGATTGCAGTGGTGTGATCTCAGGTCATTGCAACCTCCGCCTCCCAGTTTCAAGTGATTCTTCTGCCTCAGCCTCCTGAGTAGCTGGGATTACAGGCATGCACCACCACGCCTGGATAATTTTTGTATTTTTTAGTAGAGATGGGGTTTTGCTATGTTGGCCAGGCTGGTCTCAAACTCCAGGCCTCAAGTGATCCAACTGCCTTGGCCTCCCAAAGTGCTGGGATCACAGGAGGTTCAATTATTGAGGTTAGCGCATAACTATGAATAAAAATAGGTTTTAAAGGTATAGCATATTCTATTTAATAAATATGCTTCTTTAATTTGTTGATGGTGACTGTAAAAGTGTGAAATGTATAGAGAACTGCCTTGTCTGCCTCTGAGAAGTGCAGTTGTGTCAGATGAAATAAGAGACATGTGTGATGTGAGGCCAACGTGAAAGTTTACAGAAAGTCAACACATTTCCTATCACATTCTTTTATCTTCACTATGGTTTGTTAGGGATCTCATTAGATGCTTCTATTTCATTAGTCTTTTGGCATTTCACTCTTTCTTGTTTCTGATATGTGTCCTTCTTTGTCTTCATAGTGTTAGTTTCATTTTGTCCATTAGCCCATTTGTTTCTCACTTAAGCATTTCTTCTTTGGCGTTTTAACTATTTTCATATTCCTTAAGTTATTTAGACTTGATTAAACAAATAAATACCCTAATATGCATGAAAGTATTTGCACAGATAATTGTCAGAGGCATATAATTTCAAAAATGCTTTTATATACTGTTTATTTGGTGTATAAAAATGTGGCCGGCCATGGTGGTTCATGCCTGTAATACCAGCACTTTGGGAGGCTGAGGCAGGTGGATCACCTGAGGTCAGGAGTTTGTGACCAGCCTGACTAACATGGTGAAACCCCCGTCTCTACAAAATACAAAAAAAATTAGCCGGGCATGGTGGCGCATGCCTGTAATCCAAGCTACTTGGGAGGCTGAGACAGGAGAATCACTTGTACCTGGGAGATGGAGGTTGTGATAAGCCGAGATCGCGCCATTGCACTCCAGCCTGGGCAACAAGAGCGAAACTCCATCTCAAAAAAAAAAAAAAAAAGCTTTATATACTATTTTAAAATAAATGACACTAGTTTAAGGTTACACTTAGAGAAATTTCAAGCTTACTTTAAAAAACTAAATACTTGAACATATACAATTCTTCTAAGGACTACCAACCTCATATCTATTAAAGAAAACACTTGTGAATTAATAGGCATGGTTTTCACATGATCACAGGATGCTTGATCATTCATTGGCTAGGGTTATCACATACAAAGCTACTTCAGGCTACCCGATCCTTTTAAAACGACAAAAAGAGTATATATTTTACATATATATATATAATTTTTTTTTCCCCCAAAGAGAATGAGAAAGAGAGGCTCCCACATAGAGAAGAATTCGAGTTTGGAATGAGTCAGAATGTGGTAGGGAAATAGCAGAATGGCTGTCCAATACTAGCAGGTCTAGAAGTAGGGAATGGAAGTGCTGGTTAACTGGTTAACTGTGGAGAATGGTTTCTCTGGGTAGCCCTTTGCAGCCATCCAATGGCTGAGACAATGAGGAAGACCTGCAGCAAGTAACAGAAAGGCTGTGACTCAGCTGAGAGGTTGGGGGACATTGTACCCCAGGGAGAAGTGTTTTCTTTTCTGCAAAGACAGAGAACAGGAGAGGGAGAGTCTCCCATTTCTGAAGAGTCCAACAGCAGAAACAGCAGTCTCCAAGGCCCTGTCTGCAGGGGAAAAGGGACATGTCAGAGGTCCTGTTAAGTGGTAACAGCTGTGACCACAGCAAAAAAACCTCTAACTTTCTTGACACCATGGCCTACACCACCTACTCTACCTTTAGCTCATTCAGTCTGTAAATCTTTTATCCAATCTACTTATTATTTACAATTATGGCATGCTCTTTGACAGTCTTGGTGTTTTCTCTACATTGTTTTCTATCTTTAAGTTGTCTTCTCCTTCAGAAATGAGTCTGTGTTTTTAAAACTTCTTATGAATATGCAACACAGACCATACACAAAAGCTCTTTGATGATGTTTGGAATTAGAGAAAGGGGGAGATTTCAGACTCACATGTGTTTGGACAAACCTCAAAGAACTAAAAGATTTGAAAAAGATAGTGAGTGTAAAGATTTTTGTTGCTGTTGCTGTTTTCAATAAAGCACAAGCCTTCTTGCATCCAGCGCTCTTGAGTAATTGATTTTAATTAAAAAATAAAAGAAAACAGAGTCATAGCATCCAGAAAAGATATACAAGTGCTAGGTAAAATTCTAATTGGAGACAGTAAATTGAACATGTTCATTTAATCCCATTTCCTCCACAAATTCAATTAGTACATCAATATGATGATTTTTTAAAGCATAAACTCTCAGGAAAAAGAAATGGAAGAGAAGACTACAGCAACAAAATTGTGGAAGCTGGGGAACTAAAGCAATGACCTTAGAGGCAAAGAAAGTGGGATCCTGAGCTGGCATAAGGGGAAGGTGAGAAAAAATTTAGCGGACCCCTCAAAAGTCTTAGGAATTGATGGCACCAAGACCTCTGGAAGTGGGAGTATGTGTGTGATTAAGGATAAGCATAACTGAAAGTACATTAAAGAAGTTGTTAGATTCTGAGTCCAAATGGCCGGCATTTGCTTCTCTTCTATCCTGAATTAAGACTGGAGATTTGTTCTCAAGATACTATAACAGAGCTTCTCTGGACTGGGAGACTTCAAGATATTTTTGCAGTTACTATTGCTATGTGAGAAACCACCCCAGAACTAAGCTGGATGGAACAATCATCTGATAATACTCATAGATCCTGTGAGTCATTCAGACAGTGCATGGCAAGGACGGCTAACTTCTGCTCCACATGTCTGGGGCTTTTTAGCTGTAAAGATTCAACAGCTTGGTGCTGGGGTCATCTGGAGGTATCTCCACTCAACATGTCTGGCAGTGGATACTGTAGATTAGGGTCTCTGCTGGGCTCAGTTGGCCAGAACACCTATATGGGGCCTCCCAATGTGGTCTCTCTGCCTGGGCTTATTTGGGCTTCCTCACAGCATGGTGGCTGGGTTCCAAAGGCCAGTGCCCATGAAGGGAAGAGAGCAGTGAATGGCTTTCTTGTGATCTAGCCTCTTTCAAGATATGTGATTCCAAAGGGTAAACCCAGCTTACAGTTTTGAATTATCTACACATACCTCAGGAAAAAAAAAATTACACTATCATTCTCAGGGTTGAGAAATTTCATTTTTCTCACAGGTGGCTTTGACTTTGATTTCAACTCTGACAATTAATACCATAGAAGCCACCATTTGGCCTCCAAAATAATTTTTGGCAAGACTTTTATTCATGTTTACTGCCTTCAGAGCTCAAAGAGAATGGTTTTTGTTCAATCATTAAGATGTTTTGATCACTGTAAGTTTGACATATTATTATTCAGATAGGCATTTACTGAGTACCCCTTGCCATTTTATATTTAAGTTTGCAAATTCATTACTTAAGAATGTGCTAATCCCAAACCCATTATGGAGTGTTCCTGCAATTTGTATATCCTGACTTGAAGTCACTTGAGGTACTTTAGTTTTGGTCAGAGAATCTGTATAGCAGGCAAGTGAACTGAAAAAAAACAAAAAAAACAAAAAACCCCACTTTTCTACCCAGTTATCATCTTGTAAAATATGACATTTTGAAAATAGGTATAAGAACATTAGAGAACACTACTCTTATAGAGCGAGATTTACAGAAATAAACATCTATGTATGTTTTTAGCACGTTATTCATTAAACCTCATCAGTTATGGTTCATAGAAACTGCTAAGGTACTTTTCTACATTTTCTTTCAGTTCTTTTTTCTTTAAGTTATATTTTAAGTTCTGGGATACATGCGTAAAACATGCGGGTTTGTTACATAGGTATACATGTGCCATGGTGGTTTGCTGCACCCATCAACCCGTCTTCTACATTAGGTATTTCTCCTAATGCTATCCCTCCCCTAGCCCCCACCCCACCCCCGACAGGCCCCAGCGTGTGATGTTCCTCTCCCTGTGCCCATATGTTCTCATTATTCAACTCCCACTTATGAGTGGGAACATGCAGTGTTTGGTTTTCTATTCTTGTGTTAGTTTGCTGAGAATGATGGTTTCCAGCTTCATCCATGTCCCTACAAAGGACATGAACTCATTTTTTATAGCTGCATAGTATTCCATGGTGTATATGTGCCACATTTTCTTTATCCAGTCTGTCATTGATGGGCATTTGGGTTGGTTCCAAGTCTTTGCTATTGTGAATAGTGTTGTAATAAACATACGTGTGCATGAGTCTTTATAGTAGAATGATTTATAATCCTTTGGTTATATACCCAGTAATGGGATTGCTGGGTCAAATGGTATTTGTAGTTCTGGATCCTTGAGGAATCACCGCACTGTCTTCCACAATGGTTGAACTAATTTACACCCCCACCAACAGTGTAAAAGCGTTCCTATTTCTCCACATCCTTTCCAGCATCTGTTGTTTTCTAACTTTTTAACGATTGCCATTCTAACTAGTGTGAAATGGTATCTCATTGTGGTTTTGATTTGCATTTCTCTAATGACCAGTGATGATGAGCTTTTATTCATGTGTTTCTTGGCCACATAAATGTCTTCTTTTGAGAAGTGTCTGTTCATATAAAAAAAAAGCCATGCAAACATGTTAATTTTGTCCCTCTTTGATTTGCTATGGAAGTCTCTAGGCTTATAAAGAGCTTAACTCTGCAATGAAGTAAGATAGTTGTTTTTGTAGCAATACATAGTTGCTTTTATTGCTCTGTTATTTTAGTCTCGTTGTCATTCATTGAACTGAAGAAGAACTGTGAGTAGAGGGAGAAAAACACAGCGTCTTTCTCCTCCCCTCCTGGGAGCGGCGTCTCTCCCTTTCCCCAACAAGGCAAAAGCAGAAGCAACACTTCTGAATCACACAGTAATGTAAAATCTTTTTTCAATAAGAAAAAAAAGTTTTTGAGAAGCTCTTACTCTCACCTAAAGTTTTAAGGAGGAGCTGTTTATGACAAGCTTGAAGCTTGAAGCGCCCCTACTTTCATAAATAGCTCTCCCTTAAAACCCTAGTGATGTTTCCAGCAACTCCAATAATTTGTAAAACATTACCAAAAATTTCATAATTGCCAAACAATTTTTAAAACAACTGTCTGTGTCAAAGCATAAAATATTTTAAACTTGATTTCTATTTATGTTTAAAAGTTTTTTTTTTTTCTTTGAGTCAGAATCTTGCTCCGTCGCCCAGGCTGGAGTGCAGTGGCATGATCTCAGCTCACTGCAACCTCCGCCTCCTGGGTTCAAGCAATTCTCCTGCCTCAGCCTCCCGAGTAGCTGGGACTACAGGCACCTGACACCATGCCCTGCTAATTTTTTGTATTTTTTAGAGATGGGGTTTCACCATGTAAGCCAGGATGGCCTCGATCTGCTGACCTCATGATCCGCCTGCCTCGGCCTCCCAAAGTGCTGGGATTACAGGCATGAGCCACTGCACCCGGCCTGTTTAAATGTTATTTTAAGAAATTAATATATTTTTAAGCACTTTTAATCTCTCCATCTTAGGCTGAGTTTGGCTTGGTTGATAAGACTACCTCCTAACTTTTAGCTCTGGCCACACCAGGCCCACTTTCATGTTCTGGTCTCCCCTACCTTCCACTCTGCCACAGGTTCCAGGGCGTTTACTGGGTCTTTTCTTTTCTTTTCTTTTCTTTTTTCTTTTCTTTTCTTTTTTTTTTTTGAGATGGAGTTGCCCAGGCTGGAGTGCAGTGGCACGATCACTCACTGCAACCTCCGCCTCCTGGGTTCAAGCGATTCTCCTGTCTCAGTCTCTGAGGTAGCTGGTATTATAGGCACGTGCCACCACGCTCAGCTAATTTTTTTTTTTTTTTGTATTTTTAGTAGAGACAGGGTTTCACCATGTTGGCCCAGGATGGTCTCAAACTCTTTACCTAAGGTGATCCACCCACCTTGGCCTCCCAAAGTGCTGGGATTACAGGCGTGAGCCACAGCACCTGGCCTAGGTCTTTTCTTCCAACCCCATATTTACCCCTAGCACTACAAAACTTCTTACTTTAGAAATAGCAGTGGTAGAACCCAAGAAAGGACATGCCATATCTCTTAGTTCTCTGAACTGGAATCAGGTGAGAGAGTCTCCTTGGCCCCGCAGCTCATCCGTCCTGATACGAGAATAAAGAGTTAGAGGACACACCTTTAAAAAAGAGAATTAGAAGGTCAGGAAACATGGCAAAACCCCCTCTCTACAAAAAATACAAAAATTAGCCAGGCATGGTGGAGTGCTCCTGTGTGGTCTCAGCTACTCAACACGTTGATGTAGGGGGACCACCTGAGCCCAGGAGGTCAAAGCTGCAGTGAGCCTTGATGGTGACACTGAACTGCACGCAGCCTGGTGACAGAGTGAGACCCTGCCTCAAAAAAAAAAAAAAAAAAAAAAAAAAAAAAAAAAAAAAGTGGGATGTCGGGAGAGAGAAAGAATTAGAGGGAAATGAAAATGTCTAATCCAGCTTGGAGGTGCAAAAAGCAAAGAGGTGATGATGCACACCAAGTGTTAGTGGGATACCAATGGACCAAGAGTGGAAATATGAGGGGATAAGTTTCTGTTCAGTGTGGACAAAACCAGTTCTAAACCCAGACTTTATTGGGAGGAGCTCTGACTATGCCATTGACAGTCCTGCTGCCATTTTTTGAGATGTGCATCCTGAGATGTTCTCAGGGATGTTGAATACAGAGTCCAGAAGACTGTCAGACTGAGACCAATATCTTAATAACCTTAACTGCTTTAGCAGTAAGAATGCAAACTTTAAGACATACCACTTCCACTTTCCTGGGAGCCAAATTGGAATCAGGAAAAATAACCTTCTTATTCTCTGTGCCAGGATCACTGCTCTTACAGTAATGGAGATTAACTTGGCCAGGGAGACATTGTGAAGGAACAAGTGTTACCAAATTGATTGAAGTGAATCTCCTCTGTATTTCTGAAGCTCCATGTGCATGACTCTGTCATTACCTTCATCACACTCCCTTCTCATTTCCTGTTGAGTTGCCTTTCTTCTCTCCTTGGCTGTGAACTCTTTGAGGGCAGGCACCATGTTCAACTCATCTTAACCCTACACAGTGCCTGGTCCAAGGCAGGCACTCCATATGTACTTATTAAATGGAAGGTTTGATGGGTAAAAATGAAAAGAAGTGAGAAAAATTGTTTCCTAAAATCCAAATTGTGAGTAGGTAGGTGTCTTTGCTACACAAATACTTACTTTTAAAACTATCTCCCTGTTCAAGAACAGATTCTCCTTCATTTAGAAAGCCTGTTTAAGGCCTCTATTAAGCCTAGCCATGTAGCTATTACTCTTCTGCAGTTTAGTTTGAAGGGCTGTGTGAGGCAGGCATAATTTATAAGGGCTGACCCCATTCATCAGACAGTGGTCCAAGGAAGAAGAAAACCAGTGGAGAGCTAGCCAGGTGAGATGATCACAGCATAATGTAACAGAAAACCATAGAATTAGATACAGACAGGTGAGTGTCTGACTGAGTTTGTTAAAGGTTTTCATGCCTTTCTCCCCCTCTAGGCTGTCAGCTTCTTTGGGCAAAGACTGAGTCATCTCTGCATTCTCAGCACCTGGTGCAATTTAAGCAGAAATATCTTGAAGATTTTTCGTATCTTCAGGGAGATTAGGAATGGGAATGGAATGGGAACGCCAATGCAGGAAGGATGAGAAGGTAGGGTTCTTTCCCAAATGGCCCCTGGCAATGAGGTAAGTGAGGAGGAAGAAGGGAGGGAAAAACTTTTATTTAGCACTAACTGTATGCCAGACACTGTGTATAATATTTTACATATATTACAGAAGGCGATTGTTTCCAAAATTTCTGAGATTTAACTTGTACCAAATTAACAATATTTTTGAAGTTTGGATATCTTATCTCTAAAGAGCAAAATAATAAGGCTGGGTGTGGTGGCGTATGCCTGTAATCCCAGCACATTGGGAGGCTGAGGTGGGAGGGTGGCTCGAGACCAGAAGTTTGAGACTAGCTTGGGCAATGTAGTGAGATTCTGTCTCTACAAAAAGTTTTAAAAATCAGCTGGTATAGTGGTGCATGCCTGTAGTCCCAGCTACTCAGGGGCCTGAGGTGGGAGGATCACTTGAGCCTGTGGGGGTCGAGGCTGCAGTGATCTGTGATCACACCACTGCACTCCAACCTGGGTGACAGAGTGAGACCCTGTCTCAAAAAATAAAAATAAAAATAGAAAAATAATTTTCCAGGGCAAAAGGTGCAGTAACAAATACATTTGAAAAAAGTTGTGCTTTAAAAGACTCTTTTATTTTATATAAATACATCTTGAAAATTAGTTGAAGAAGGTAGCAAGTATCCATCATTATTTTGCATAGATTAAAAACATCTGGGTGTGTCTGAAAATGGAAAAAAACATACAATGTTATGTAAAACCCTAAATCTTTAGATATGAAAGCATGCATACAAAAATAATACATTCTATTTAGTCTTTCTCATAATGAAAATTGGAATTTGCCAGGCTCACTCATCACCTTAAAATTGGTGAGATACATACTATACAATTTTTATTGTTTGAAAATGCTTGTTGATCTGTAGCAAATTCTCTCATCCTTGGGAGTTGATGTAATCACATCTGCAAAACCAAAGCAGAGGATGATGCAAAGTTCTTTTGAGAAGATTTCTCAATACCATCTGTTTGCTCTGTCAGAGCCTTTCCTTTCCAAACTTCCCCCTTAGCCTGTGCATCTGGAGTGTCTCTATGAAGTCTATGAGGTCTTCATCTAGCCTGGAACCCAGGCTAATGTGTCACCCTGTGACCCAGCCTGGTGGAGTCATTTTGGCTCATCCATCTGGGCTCCTTCCCCTCTATCCATGAGCCATGGTGATATCACCCTGCAGCCATGAAGCCCAGTAGATCACACATTCACGCTATTCCCCCTGGAAGCCTCCTCTGTTCAACTCCCCAGTAAGCATTCCATTAAGCCAAAGCTTGATCCAGAGCAAAGCCTTAACTCTCTTCAATTCTATCAAGGATGAGAGAGGTGAGGAAGCTATATAAGAAAAGTTCAAAGCTAGCATATGTTGGTTCATAAGGTTTAAGGAAAGGAGCCATCTCCATAACATAAAAGTGCAAGGTGAAGCAGCAAGTGCTCATGTAGAAGCTGCAGCGAGTTGTCCAGAAGAACTACCTAAGATAATTGATCAAGGTGGCTACACAAAACAACAGATTTTCAATGGAGACGTAACAGTCTTCTATTGGAAGAAGACTTTCACATCTAGAGAAGATAAGTCAATGCCTGGCTTCAAAGCTTCAAAGGACAGGCTGACTCTTGCTAGGGGCTAAAGCAGCTGGTGACCTTAAGTTGAAGCCAATGCTCTTTTACCATTCCAAACATCTAAAGCTCTTAATGTTTATGCTAAATCGACTCTGCCTATGCTTCATAAATGGGAAAACAAAGTCTGAATGACAGCATATCTCTTTGTAGCACAGTTTACTGAATATTTTAAGCCTATTGTTGAGATCTACTGCTGAGAGAAAAAAAGATTTCACATTGTTGTGGTGATCTGGAACCAAACCCACAATATTTTTGAAGTATGCCCATGTACTCCTTTTCTTCTATCTAGTTTTGAACCAATTGGTTCAAAATTGAACCAATCAGGCAGCTGGTGTCCAACATATCAGCTTTTTTGATGGTATAGATTAGGTTGGTGAATGTGATTTAGGTGCAGGAAGAATTAACTTCCTATTCTGCACCCAGAATCAGACAGACCCACCTGTCATAAGCCCAGCTGGGCAACCACCAGCCTTCTCATATGGAGCCTCTTATTGCAAAGCTTACAGCACAGAATTAGAACAGAATGCTTGCTTTCTGTGAGCAGTCGACTCCCTAGAGGAAGGAGAGAGAAAAGACTGAGCTACTTTTGCCTAGTTCCTTTCCTAAACTCACCAATAAGATCAGTCACTCTTATTGGACAGGAACCATTAAAGGAGCAGATAGACAGTAGAGCATCACTCTCACTGAACACCCACCACATGGAAGGAAATATCAGAGTAGGGAATACCCATTGTCCTCCTATGGAAACCTGAAAACAGCCACATGGAAAAATGATGAGAAATGTAAATTGGATTTTGTGGACTCCAGCTGGACACACTTTTGCCATCCTATTGATTTTTTTAAGTATCAGATTGATTTTTTTTAAGTATCAGATTGTCTTGTATCTTGAGGAAAATATGGTATGTGTTTTTATGTGTATACACACACATATTCCTTCTGACCATGACATTGTAGATGGATGTACACAAAAGCAATTTTAGTCTGTAAAGTAATTTTGTGGGACCTCATACGTCCCCCCCAAGCCTGCAGACACCCTGTATAATCTGGCTTTTCTCATGGAGTCTGCCTGAGAAAAAGCCTTGCTTTTCCCTCTGCTCTGGGGCCTTTGCCTGATACTTATGATTTTGGCTCTCTCCATTGGTTATGAGCTGATACAGCTTTATATAGTCTGGTCAACAGGCTACATGGGGTTGGGGTGTGGAGGGGGTGTTCTACAGTGTGACTTTATAAGGTATTTGTTTAGTGCATATTCTCTCAGATCTCATTCAGGAAAAGTGGAAATATTCTGTCCTTTTCAATATGCTCTCATCCTCCCTGCTACAGTAGTCTAGGCCTGGGGAGCTATGAATTGTGTGGATGGGCTAGTTTCCAGACTTAGGTCTTAGCTCTGTTTCCATTATAGTGAAGCTGCTCAACAACTGGATGTCCCTTTGGAACAATAAAAGGGATATCACTATTTCCATAGATCCTTAGTTTAGCGTGAAAAAAAAAATACTCTAGTTATTCTTGATGTGTACTACAGTTTGGATGTTTGTCCTCTCCAAATCTCATGTTGAAATTTGATCCCCAATATTGGAGATGGGGTCTAATGGGAGGAGTTTGGGTCATGGGGTCAGATCACTCATGAATAGATTAACACCTTCCCTGAGGGTGGAGGTGGAGGTTAGGGTGAGGAGTAAGTTCTCTATTAGTTCCCAAGGGAGCTGGTTGTTAAAAAGAGCCTGGCACCTCTCCTCTCTCTCTTGCTTCCTCTCTCAGAATGTGATGTCTGCGCAAGCTGGCTCCCCTTTACCTTCTGCCATGAATGGAAGCAGCCTGAGGCTCTCATCAGATGCCTAATCTTTAACTTTTCCAGACATAAGAATTATGAACCAAATCATCTCAATTATGAGCTTTTTTTTCCTTATAAATTACCCAGTATGAGGCATTCCTTTATAGCAATGCAAAATGGACTAAGACAATGTGTTTTTATATATCAGTGTCCCCTGGTCCATTATTATTTGTAAAACTTACTAGATGGCAAAAAAATCAATTACTATGTGCTGATTTGGACATGAAATAAGAATTTGAATTCTGTGGAATTTCTCTTGTGGAAGTTGGGTCAAGATCTCAGCCTCTTTTTCAGGCTGAGAAAAAGTTCAGTATCACTGGTATGCAAAAGGCAAAGGAAGCAGGGGCTGAGGCTTACAGTGTGCCAGATGCCATTGTAACTGCTTCACTGGCCTCATTACAAAATTATCTATAATCTCTTCTGGGTCTAATGGGACTATAGTTTCTAAAGCTTTGGGGTTCAGTTAAAACCAAAGTGGGAATGTACTTTAGATTTCATGGTTAGAGCCCTTCTGATTGATATTAGATTGTTACTACCTCCTGAAGATTTTATCATTTTAATTTGTTGAATATGACTGGATTTCATACCGAAATTCAGTATTTGTTGACTACAATAAGTAGTTGTTGAATACAACTACTTATTGAGTGCCCATCATGTGCCAGGCTCTGTGCTGGGCACTGGGGATTAATATATACTCAAATAGTTGAATGAAGAGAAAGATATTCTGGCAAATCATTGCAGTTTAAATAAGCATTATGAAGTGGATTACTAGAAACAGTGGAAGGATAGAAGAGATATGGAAGACTGCCTGGGTGAGACATGAGTAACTTCAGCTGAACTTGAAGAATGAAGGGTATTTTTCAAGAGAATATATAAGAGATAGGACTTCCAGGCAGAGTAGAAAGGCACTGATGCCTTATATAACATGGCATGTCTGGACAACTTCAAAAAGTTTAGTATCATTGGCATGCAAAGGTAAAGGAAGCCAGGGCCGAGGCTTATAGTGTGCCAGATACCATTCTAACTGCTAAATATTTATTATCTCACTTAATTTCTATAACACTATGAGGGTGGTACCATTTGCCCCATTTTATAAAGGAGCAAACTGAGCCTTAGAGGGGTTACATAACTTGTTCAAGGTTACTGGTAGATGGTAGAAATGAGATTTGACCCTCCTGAAGAAGTGACATTATTAATGGCTATGCAAAACTGCTTCCCCAATATTTATCTTCTTACTCCAGCTCACAGAAAAACTTTTCTGGTTTTTGCTCTCATCAAGTAGCTGCCAAAGTACTTGTTTTTAATCAAGATATTTTTATCTGCAAGGTCATCAAAGATAGCTGGTGTGTGGAATGCAGCCATTGTACAATATCATCATTCCTTGGCTGAAAGGAATGTGGATCAGACCCTATTTCTCCAAATACGACAATTGCTGAATGGCAAATTATTTCAAGTTCAAATCGGAGGTTTGAACTTGAAATAATTATTATCAGCTAATCAAATTGCAGCTTCACCAAAATCTGGGCTTCAGCAGACTTTGAGCTGTAGAGGGAGTTTTGGAGAAAGCTGTATATTTGAAATTATAGAGGAATGAGTATGTTTATGAAAAAGCATTAGAAAAACAGATGCCTTTATCAGTTTCATGGCTTTGCTTCTTGTGAGTCTCTTTTCATTCTCCAAGCACCCTAGTCTGTGGATGAAGAGCCAGCCTGGGATGATGGAAATCCCAGCGAACCTGCAGCTTAAGATCTCAAGTTTGGTCACATAGGACACGTAGAAGCTTGAGCATGAAAGTTTCTCTTTTTAATTTCCTTCCCTGTGTGGACAAGGAGTTAAAAGTTCAGGTTTGAGGGCCAAAATTCCAGAGCTTAAATCCTAGCTTTGCCAATCCCCAAATGTGTGCCCTTGGACAGGATACTTCTTGCGCATTGGTTTGCACATCTGTAAACCAGGGAGAGTAGTAATACCTACCTCATGGGGCTGTTGGGGACAGTAACTGAGATAATTCATAGGAGAAGCTTAGAATAGCGTCCAGCACAAAGTAAGAATGCAAAAAATGTTAACTTTTATTATTGTTGTTTTCTTCTAGTTCTTGACTTCTCTGCCCCATTCAAGCCTAAGTGTTCCCTTAGCCCTACAGAAAGCTAGAAGAAAATCGTTCACTTCCTCTTTAATTTTTTTTCTACTTAAGGAAGACCAGTGTAAACATCTGTGCATTATAGTACAGTGCAGGTATGAAGGAGCCAGACCTGTAGCCCTGGTGCAACACATTTGGCATTCAGTGTGCTTTGTAGGCTGCTGCTCCTCACAACGGACAAGAATCCATTTAGTTTCAGATCAACAATGGTAGCTTTACTTCCTTTTTGCTCTCTGGTGGGAATTGCGGTCTTTTTGCCATAACCAGGCATTATGATCTGTGTATAATGGAAAAATAAATATTGATGAACTTTTTATTTATTTCTTTTAATGAGGGGAAGCTTACTCTTTTCAGTTGAAAAATTCTACTGGAAATAAATCATATTGCTATGGAAACCCTGCCCAATCAGCACTGAAGTGTGGTTGCTATATATGTTCTTTGAATGTACATGCTATCAGCATTACATTTTGGCACGTATTTGACTTCCAATTCTGTTTCCACAGTGTTAGACTAGAGCCCATCCGCTGACTGCTTCTCTGTTCAGTCTTTTAGGATTCCTTGCTATCTTTGGGATGCTGAATCATGTAGAAACCACAGAAATCCTGTGATTAGTTCTGGCTCTGCAACTTCTGTCCTGGGGCAGGTTTCTAGTCTTTCTGATCCAGTAAGATTATCTATAAATTCTTTGGACTATAAAAATAAAAACAATATCTTATAAGGTTTCGGTGAAGATCAAATAAAGTCATAATATGAATAAGTACTTAATACATTCTAAAATGCTATATAAAGGTAAAATAGTTTTGCTTCCAGAAAAGCTACCCACTGCATAAGTTACACATCTCAAACAATCTTTGGAGTTTCTGTTTTTTTTCCTTATAGTTGGGTTATGAGAGGTATGATGATGTAGAAGATGAATGCAGACCCACTGTGGTAAGAATCCCAGCAACATTACTCACTGTTTATATATGCAATCTTGGTCGGGTTACTTAACCTTTCTAAGCTTCACTTTCTTTATCTTTAAAATCAAAATGGTAGAATTTATATCCAGGATTATTTAGTAGATTAGAAAAAAATTATATGTTAAACACAGTGCTTGGCAGATAGATAACCACTTAAAAATGGTACTTACTGCTGAAAATAATGATGCTGTGCCCAAACTGACAACATCAAACAAATTCTAAACTACTCAGCAATTTGGAACTGGTTTATATCAAAGAGAATACCATTTGTCAACACCTGAAAATTCTTATTTATTCTAGAAGAGCATTCATTTAGAAATGACAACTCCTCATAGATTCTGCAACATTCACTGAGTATCTACTAAGTGCACAGAAAGATGAATAGAATGGCAAAGTTCTTATCCTCCATAGTGCTATAACTTGTGGAAGTATAATAAAGTTGCACACGAGTAACTGCAATGCTTGTGGTAACTCACTGATAATGTTCATGTGACAAGTAATTTCAATGAATATAATAGAATGATCAAGAATGCAAAAATGAATTCTTTCAAGCAGAATTTCTTGCACAAGAGTCTATGAAAACTCAGAATGAGAGAAACAGGTGCCACAACTCATAGATATGGAGACATGTATTAGTCCATTCTTATGCTGCTGATAAAGACATACCCAAGATTGGGTAATTTACAAAGGAAAAGAGGTTTAATGGACTTACAGTTCCACGTGGCTTGGGAGGCCTCACAATCATGGTGGAAAGAAAGGAAAAGCAAGTCATGTCTTACATGGATGGCAGCAGGCAAAGAAAGAGAGCTTGTGCAGGGGAACTCCTCTTTATAAAACCATCAGATCTTGTGAGACTTATTCACTGTCATGAGAACAGTACAGGAAAGACTTGCCCCCATGATTCAGTTACCTCCCACCAGGTCTCTCACACAACTCGTGGGAATTCAAGATGAGATTTGGGTGGGGACACAGACAAACCATATCAAGACAGCAGTGATATATCTGTCCCTGCAAAGCTTTGCAGAGTCTCTGACTGACCCTAAGGTTGAAAGTCAAATTGGAGGAGAGAGTGCTAATTATTATACAGGATGACTTTGTACCCTATCTCTGCCTGATAATTACCATCAGTACTAGTATAGTCACCAAAACATTCAATCTGAAGAGAAGTTGAAAATACATGGTGTCTCTGAGCCAAAATTGACCCTTGATGAAGAGAAGAAGTTGGTCTAAATTGAAACAGAACTATCAGTAATTCAATCAAGGAATGCTAAGTCAGAGCCAAGAAAGAGGGAGCATCTCATTTTCAGTTGTAGAGATTATTCAGCTCGGCTTATTTGGTAATTTAAATGTAGTCATACTTTAGTTGTAATGCACATAAATAGCACTTTGGTCATGGATCAAATGTGATAAATTTTAATAAATTTCTGAAGCAATACAAAAACTGCATGTACTCATTTTCGTCTTCACACACACATGTTCAAACACACACATGTGCATACACACACACAAGTGGACCCTGGATTAGGATGCTTTCGTAACTCAGTGAATTATTCTCCTCCCACCAGCAGAGTGAAATGGCTATTTTCTTTTCTTTCTTTCTCTTCCCTCTCCATCCTTTCCCTTCCTTTCCCTTTTTTGTTCTTTTCTCCACTCACGACTCCCTCCCTTCTTTTAAACCTTTTTCTCCTGTCCATGATTTTAAGGACAACGGGATGCCAGTGGAAGGGCAAATCAGTGATTTAGAACTGGCAAATCTCTCAGACTGTTATGCCTCATTTGGAATTTTCAGCACAGAGATAACAATGCGTGCCTCCAGATGGATGGTGGGTCTAAATCTTGCCTCAGGCTTCCTTTGTGGGAGGCATTTGAGCATTTATTGAGCCTTTCTAGAAGGAAATGCCTTGAAGAGTGAGATGATGCAGTAAAGAGTCTATAGTGCACTCCAGAGGGGATATGTGGAGGCATATTTAGAATAGTTCTCTTTTCCATAAAGAAATTGAATGAGAATGAACATTTTCCCTGAGTAAAGTGAATGCAGAATCATAGAAACTCCATGAGTATCTATTGAGTGAATAAATTGGCCAATGAGGAAAAAGTAAAAAGGGTTTATGAAGATAAAACATGAAGAATGAGGGAGTAAGATTATGAAAGCTCCACAATAACCTATATCTGCTTACATTTTCCACCTCAAATTATAGCTTCTAGTTTTCCTCTCAGCATGGTCTTCCTGTGCTGCACCTTCTCAGTCAGAACTCCACATTCTCTTTCACACACACACACACACACACACACACACACACACACACACACACACACACGTGCTCCAACGATTCCTACTGACCTGTACCTAGAATCACCATTACTGAACCTTGAACCAAGGCTAGGTAGACCCCATTCCCTATAGATATGTTTAATACAAGCTCTCTGACATTAGAGACCCAACTATCAACCATGGCATTCCAACAACATTGGCCACCCTACTTTGGTTTGCCTGTGTGAAAGTCTTTGGGTCCTGATGTTCCCATTCAGATGGTCTTATGTAAAGATCAAGGTCTTGTGGGAAAATCAAGGAGACTTATTCCAACTCCCACCCATGTCCCAGAGACCTTCTGTCTGGACCTGTTGCATTAACTTGGTCTGCTGAACTGAAGGGAAGTGTTGTTCCTTTGTGTGAAGTGTCCCAAAAGAATAGGTTTTCAAACTGGAGTGAGTCAAAATACAGAGGATGTAGAACAAGGGTGTCAAAAAGGGAAGTCAGAGCACTCATCAAACACTTCCATTCGTGGAGAGCTCTAGCCCCATCTTGGACTGACTTCTCGCCCTTTGGCTTTTCATTTTAGACACAGCCCCGGGCTGCTTGCCAAGAGCTGAAGGAGCTCAGAGCAACAATGTAATCTGTAATGATGAAATCTTATGTCCAGCCATTCACTTCTGCCCACAGCAGAAATCTTAGCCTCAGGTATAACACTCAAAAACAGCTGTGCTCTTTTCAGGTTTATACTAGACATTTTCTTGGTTCATTATTGTCTAAATGTTGAATAAAATGAAAAGAAAATGCTCACTTAAGTTACTTCTTTGGGATCACATTATAAAATGACATCCTTTTAATACTTTAGGACCGAATAAACAAAGCAACGCCAACACCAACAAAAACCAAACAAAAAAGAAAGTACAAGCTTTATGCTCAGTAGTAGGTCATTTGAGTCAGGAGGTCATAGTTAGATCTACAGCAAGCTGGATGAAATGATAAGAAACAGAATGGAGAAGAATATAACTAACTTGTGTAGTGTGACTTCTCCATATGATGGGTGCTAGAGTTCTGAGAACTGATGAGACCCCATTTCTAGCCTAGGGTATAAAAAGCAGTGAGCCAGTGGGCTGGAAGCTGATTCCATTAACCACCAAACCTCAGACACCGAGGAACTTCATCCACTCTTTCATGTGTATCCTTAATACTGGCAGTGTGCTGGTCTGTGAAAGAGTGCTTTCTCTGAGTCTTAGCTGTCTTTCTTGTCCAGTCTTCTAATCCCACTCCAACCTTTATGGACTGGTCTAGCTGAGAACAAGACAGATCTGGGTTTAAATTCTGGCTCTGCCATTTGATGATCTATGATTATGGGCAAATTATTTCACCTTCTAATCTTAACTTTCTCATCTGTAAAGCAACACATATTTCAAAGAGTGTTTTCCTGAGCATTCAATGATATAACACAAATGAACTTTCTGGGATACTTAAACAAGTAGATACTCAATAACTTAATTCTCTTCCCACCGCTTTCACAGGGAACCAGGTAAAATGTCCCTGAGCCTCATCTATGGTAATAATACCTAAATTGTTGATTCTAAGATATGCTTTTGGCATTTTAACATCTTGCAATTAGCAACATCTTACTGTCTTGGATAGTCACAGGGCAGTAGTGACATGGCTGTTATTGCTTGCATAGGTGTGAACTTACTGTTATTCCTGAAGGCATGACTGGACCTATAGCTCTTCTGACCATTTAAGAAGAATTTGAGGAATTTGAGTGTACAATTTTCCACAACAATAAGATAAAAACAATGTCCTAGCATCAAAACTTGCAAAATAGGCATAAGCAGCATGAAAGAAACTATCAGAGACAATAGCGGAGCCCCTTTTTTTTTCCAGGAAAATGGATATTTAATATTTAGCATTCCATCTATGAACATGGCATGAATTTTATTTATTAAATGTATCTCCCAGCATCATCCATGTCCCTGCAAAGGACGTGAACTCATCCTTTTTCATGGCTGCATAGTATTCCATGGTGCATATATGCCACATTTTCTTTAAAGAACAGAAGAATCACCAATGCACTTGATGGTCCAGAGGACAATATCAAGTGCAAGAACCTGGGCATCTTTGGACAACTCAACAGAAAAGTAATTCAAAAGAGTCAGACTCTGAAAGTGAAGAGGTTTTCAGAAAACCTTCACTAATTTATTTTGCTGTATTTTCCCTTCAGCGTACACACAAAATGATATGTAATGAAAAGCTATGTCTATATAAGTTTAAGAGAGTGCTTTTGAGATGAGCACAACAAAAAGCTAAGTGATAAGAGAATATTGTGTCAAAATTTAATTGGGAATATTTTTCAGTCTTAATGGCATATAAAATAATGATTCAGCTTATAACTACTGGCATCTCCGAGTCAATAAACTATGGTAAAACTGTACTGTGGTATTTTTTGTAAGAAATAAATGAGACTGTATATGTGGGAACAGCTGGCATGCAATAGTCATCCAACACATATTAATTGAATCTCATTCTGAATTGGTAGTCATAGAATCTTAGATTTAGAAGTGACCTCAAAATGATTTTCCTGGAAAGATCTCTACAATGGAAACTAGAAAACATTGATGAAAGAAATTGAAGAGGACACAAAAAAATTGAAAGATATTCCTTGTCCATGAATTGAAAGAATCAATATTGTTAAAATGTCCATACTACCCAAAGCAATCTACAGATTCAGTGAAATCCCTATGAAAATACCAATGACATTCTTAACAGAAGTAGAAAAAACAATCCTAAAATTTATATGGAACCACAAAACACCCAGAATAGCCCAAGCTTTCCTGAGCAAAAATAGCATAACTAGAGGAATCACATTACCTGACTTAAAATTATACTACAGAGCTGTAGTAACCAAAATAACATGGCACTGGCATAAAAACAGACACATAGACCAATGAAACAGAATAGAGAACCCAGAAACAAATTCACACACCTACAGTGACCTCATTTTCAACAAAGGGTTCAACAAAGGGTCCAAGAACATACATTGAGGAAAGGACAGTCTCTTCAATAAATAGGTTTGGGAAAACTGGATATCCATAAACAAAGGAATGAAACTAGGCCCCTACCTCTCTCCATATAAAAAGTCAAATAAAAATGGATTAAAGACTTAAATCTAAGACCTGAGACTATAGAACAACTGAAAAAATTAGGGAAACTCTCTGAGACATTGGACTGGGCAAAGATTTCTTGAGCGATATCCCACAAGCACAGGCAACCAAGGCAAACATGGACAAATGGGGTCACATCAAGTTAAAGAGCTTCGGCACAGCAAAGGACGCAAACAACAACGTGAAGAGACAACCCACAGAAGGGGAGAAGATATTTGCAAACTACCCATCTGGCAAGGGATTAATAACCACAATATATATGGAACTCAAACAACTCTATAGGAAAAAATCTAATAATCTGGTTAAAAAATGAGCCAAAGTTCTGAACAGACATTTCTCAAAAGAAGACATACAAATGGAAAGCAGATATATGAAAAGGTGCTCAACATCATTATCAGAGAAATGCAAATCAAAACTACAATGAGATATCATCTCACCACAGTTAAAATGGCTTTTATCCAAAAGACAAGCAATAATAAATGCTGGTGAGGATTTGGAGAAATTGGTGGGAATGTAAATAGTACAACCAGTATGGAGAACAGTTTGAAGGTTCCTCAAAAAACTAAAAATAGAGCTACCATATAATCCAGCAACCCCACTGATAGGTATATACCCAGAAGAAAGGAAATCTATATATCAAAGAGATATGTGCACTCCTATGTTTATTGCAGCACTATTCACAATAGCCAAGATTTGGAAGCAACCTATGTGTCCCTCAACAGATGAATAGTTAAAGAAAATGTGGTACTTATAAACAATGGAGTACTATTCAGCTGTAAAAATGAGTGAGATCTTGTCACGTGTAACAACATGGACGGAATTGGCGGTCATTATGTTAAGTAAAATAAGCCAAGCACAGAAAGACAAATTTGCATGCTCTCACTTATTTGTGGGAGCTAAAAATTTAAAAATTGAACTCATGGAAACAGAGAATAGAATGATGGTTACCAGGGGCTGGGAAGAGTAGTGGCGGGGTGAGGGGAAGGGGAAGTCGGAATGGGTAATGGAAACAAAAATATAGTTAGAAAGAATGAATAAGACCTAATATTTGATAGCACAACATAGTGACTACGATCAATAACAGTTTAATTTTACATTTTCAAGTAACTAAAAGAGTATTGCCAGGTGCAGTGGCTCACACCTGTAATCCCAGCACTTTGGGAGACCAAAGTAGGAGGATTGCTTGAACTCAGGAGTTTGAGACCAGTCCGGGCAACACAGTGAGACCCCATCTCTATTTAAAGTAACTAAAAGAGTATCATTGGATTGTTTGTATTACAAATGATATATGCTTGAGGTGATGCCCATTTACCCTGACATGATTATTATGCATTGCATGCCTGTATCAAAGTATCTCTTGTACCCCATAGATATATGCACCTGCAATGTGAAATTAAAGATAATTTTTAAAAAAGATGATTTTCCTGGAGTGCTTATATTCTGTGAGTTACACTGGTGCTAACCATGTCTCCAGGCCACTTTGAGAATTTCTCAGACACAGGTATTACATAATACCAAATATCTGGCCACATTTGCTTGGAGCAGAGCCTGGAGCAGCACCTGAACCAAAAGTCAGTCATGTCTATGCTGGTGCTGACCTGGTGCTAGAGCTCAGCCCAACAGAAATGCTCTACTGGTTGGCAACTGTTCCCAAATGCAGGGAAGCAGAGCCTAAGAAACAAAGTAGCAGAGGAATAAGAAAAGCAGGAAGAAAAAGCAGAAGAGATGGAGGAAACCTGAAAAACCCTAATTCACTCAAATCTAGCCTGTAGATGGATTTAGTCTGATGCCTTCCTCAATTTCCCATTATTCGTGAGATGTTTACAAGAATATAAAGATACCTTTTAGCTGGTTATCTATAATTCTCATTTCTTGTCAACTGATTCAATGATCTTTTTTCTTAAAGCTTCTTTATAAGGTCTATAGAGATTGAGTTTACAAGTAATTATAATGCCTAGGACAAGTTCATAAAATAAATACTCAGAACACTCCCATATCTGCAATTCACAACAAGCACAAAGACACTGTACAGATCACAATTCATTTTCCAGCAAATTGTCTTAGGCAGCAACTCTCTTGCATATGAATTTTGAGAAATGTTAATTTTCCTTAATGCATGGCATATTTACTATAATTAAAAGCATGTAGATTTTGTTCTCAGTTAAGTTTCCAAAAGCACAATCTGTATTATGTTGCTATACATTTAACATATGCAATATATTTATAATTAAGCCTATGTATAATTTTTATTTATAACTCTGCATGTTTAATATAATTATATATGATGTATATGCATCTGAATATAAGGGAGAAGGGAGCTACCCCCACTGAATGATGTCAGCATCAGGCACTGAGCTAGGTATTTTATATTGATTATTTAATTCTTCATCAATGTTGTGGAAAATAGGTGTACCTTTTACAATAACTTTGGTTGCTTCCTTAATTCCTGGAAAATTGTTTTCCAGATCTTTTAGAAGCCATTTCTAAGGTACAGAAGGTTTGTTGTCAGATCCTTAAAGTTGGTAGCATTCAATGTAGCTGTCTTCCACTAGCCAGGAGGTATGTAAACTGAGGCCAGTGGAGATGTCTTTGAGTTATTATAAGAATTTGCTTGGCGGGGCGCGGTGGCTCACACCTGTAATCCCAGCACTTTGGGAGGCAGGTGGATCACGAGGTCAGGAGATCGAGACCATCGTGACTAACATAGAGAAACCCCGCCTCTACTAAAAATACAAAAAAATTAGCCGGGCGTGGTGGCGGGTTCCTGTAGTCCCAGCTACTCGGCGGGGCTGAGGCAGGGGAATGGCGTGAACCTGGGAGGCAGAGCTTGCAGTGAGCCGAAATCATGCCACTGCACTCCAGCCTGGGCGACAGAGGGAGACTCTGTCTCAAACAAACAAACAAAAAACACAAAAAAAGAACTTGCTTAATTTTGAGCAAGACTTGTAAATCATCAATTCCCGCCACCACTCAATTACCTATTATCCTTGTAATTGGATGCTTTCAAGTGTGTGTTTGTTAAGGCTTTAAACTGGCCTGCTTTTTCTAACCAATTTAAATGTTTTTAAAATAGGAACACAAGATAATAGAAGATGTCCAAATGCTTTGTTCATTGAAAATTCTTTAAACTTTCAAGTGTTTTCCTTACTACTTTTTCAAATTTCATGGCCTAATCGTGCATTCATTCCTTTGGAAGTTTGCCTCTCTCATCAATCATTTGAAACACTAGCCTTTATAGCTGGTTAGCTATTAACTTGCTAAAAGTAATAATCATTTACATTTAAAAAGCACAATGTTTTATAGTTTGCAAACTACTTTTACATGCTTTGCATGATTTAATTCTTTCTTCATTCCTGTGAGGTAGAAAGAGCAAGTACCTAATCCCCATTTTACAAATAGTAAATAAGAAAATTAAGCCTTATTCATTTTTGAAATAAAGAAAATGGTGAAGACTTGAAGGTTTTTCTAGTTTGATTCCCACACCCCCTCTTCTTAGCATTATCCTTGAACATTGACCTGTAATGTCCTTATTAACTGCTTAGTATATTGTGCTAAGTATTATTGGGGTAGGAGGCGGTGAGGAAAATATTGAAGCATACATAAAAGTGTAATACATATTCCTTGCCTTTAGGAAACTTTAGTCAGGTTGGGAATATGTAATCACAGAGAAAAATAGCTATTAATTCAAAGCAGACTTTGATATGGTACATGAAGACTTAGAGCAATAAATAAGGCCTGTGAACATACAGAGGAATGGAGAGATATCAGTCAGAGTCCTGGCAGGAAGCAGATGGCAGATTCAAATTGGGTAATTTGAGGAGAGCTTAATTGTTTAAAAAGTTATTTACAAAGGTGGGTGTTGAGTGGTAGAAAACCAGAGAGAGAGTTCAGTATTTGGGGAGTGAGGGAGACAGTCGATGCTGCTCAGCTTCCTGGGTAGCGGGGAGGAGAGGATGGAGAGCAGACCTGGAGGGATAAACAGAACATACTAGCCCTGGAAGAATCACCATATGCTGAAATGTTGGGGGAAGGCCATGAGGTGGTAAGAATGGACCTTAGCTTTGAAAGAGTAAAAGTAGAAAATATAGGTGTAGAAGAGAGACGAGGGCACTGCATTCAAAGTGAACACAGGACATGAGGGTTCGGATTGGGAAATATGCTCATTCTGGGCTGTCAAAGGGCAGAAAGGGGGACATAAAATTACAAAATAACTAGGGACCAAATTGCAGAGGAGTTGAACACCAAGCTAAGGAGTTTATACCTGATCCTGAGAACAGCAGCCAGCAAACATTTTAAAATAAGTAATGAAGCTGGTATCTTAGGAAAATTAGTCTATATTAATACAAGAACTGGTTTGGAGGAAAGAAGTGAAAGTGGCAGAATGTTCAGCTTAGACACAATATCCCAGCATGAGGTAAAGAAGGGCAGTGAGAAGAAAAAGGGGAAGAAACATACATGAGACATCATGAAGGAAGACTCAGTCCTCTTGAATGCTAGGCTGAGCAACTCATGCTGGCATGTGCTTCCCTCCCAAATGGTAATCCTGATTGAAATGCACCCTAAATAAACTAGGACAAATACTCCTTAGGTTAGACACTCATGGACACAGGGCTGGCTGGAGTGTGAAAACAGCTTGGCCTGGACCCAGAAGATGTGGTTTGAATCACTACTTTGCCACATACAAGCTGGATGTTCTTAAGCAGATTGCCTGGTCCCTCAGCCTCCACTTACATCCTCAAAATGAGACACTAATACTTACCACATAGGATGGTTATGAGAACTCAGTCAGCAAGATTTGTGGACTGCGAGGGACCACATGGGGGTGGGGGTGGTAGCTAACATTATGTCTGACACCTCTGGACACCTTGTCTCTCTGGCCAGGTCAAGTGGAAAGGAAGCAGGCTCTTGCCAAGACATTAACTAAAGCCCCTATTTCTCTTCCTTGCCAAAGCTGCTGTGTGATCAGGTTTGATTGATTACTATAAGCCTCAGCCTTCCAATTATTCCTCCCCTGCAAGTTATGGCTGTATGTTTTATTTGACAAGATAGTATTTATTTATTTTAAAAACCTTGGTTTATTTTCATTCTCCCAGCCCATGACCCCAAAAGATTTTTTTCTGTTGTTTCCCTGAGCTTGCCACTAATGAGCTGAAGATAATTCCCCCCAACCTCCACCCCTTCCAAGTGCTTAGTACTTTTTGGCCTGAGTATTTAGCAACATGTTGAAATACAGATTAAAGCAATGAGCCCATTTAAATAAACCGGTTGTGAAATTTGGTTGTTTTTACGTTTTGAGGTTTCTATGCAGAGCCCTCTATGGATGCCCTAATGAAAGTACCACTTTGATTTTCAGGCAATTTTACATATAATGTTTTCTTCTCTTTAGAGAGTGTCTGCAGATCTGATAATAACTGTAAAATAACATGGCCACACTGAGATACAGAGGGTAAGTAGCTGATTGGCTAGTCTTACTCACCAGCTAAGGCTTAAAGCCATGAAGTCCAAGTTCATGCTTTCACAAGTTACAAATGACCTCCTGCCATGGAACTCTGTGGTTGGCTTTGAATAATTGAAATCATTACTTTAATATCTGTAAGGCCAGGAATCCCCTTTAGTTGATCCCGAAAGCTTGGCAATAATTTGGGTGACGGGGTGATGCAGAAAATAGTAGTTTGTAGTAGAAAATTTGAGTCTCATTGTCCCAATTTTTAAAATTCCTCAATGTTTATAAGTTGATGTTAAACTTTTCATTCAATATCAACTTATAAAAATGAACAAAGCCCAGGCCAGGCGCGGTGGCTCACGCCTGTAATCCCAGCACTTTGGGAGGCTGAGGTGGGCTGATCACGAGGTCAGGAGATCGAGATCATCCTGGTTAACACAGTGAAACCCTGTCTCTATTAAAAATAAATAAATACATACAAAAAAATTAGCCGGGTGTAGTGGTGGGTGGCTGTAGTCCCAGCTACTTGGGAGGCTGAGGCAGGAGAATGGCATGAACCCAGGAGGCGGAGCTTGAAGTGAGCCAAGATTGCACCAGGGCACTCCAGCCTGGGCAACAGAGGGAGACTCTGTCTCAAAAATTAACAAAGCCCTTGTGAAACCCATTGCACTGTGCTAGATGCTTGAGGAGAAAGGTACAGACTTTTAAGATATGGTTCTTCTCCTCTAAGTACTTACTGGGGACATAAGACCCAGGTAATGATGATTAATGATCTTATCCTCTGCTTCGCCTCAGTCACTTACCCGATAATTATACCCCAGACTTGGTCATTTCATGCATCCACTCTTAGACCTACTGATCTCTTCTTTCCATGCCATTCCTCGATACTCCAACTCCAAAAATTCTTCATCCTCACTAGGACCTATGCTCCATCCATTCACCATCCCTCACTCCCATAAAATCTTCAGTTCCCTCTAGACTCAGCTTACATTCTATGGTCCATTATTAAAAACTGCTCACTCATTCACCCTCCAGTACCTTTTCCTTCCTTTCATTCATCACGTCTGCTTGGTAAAACCCTGGTTAAATCCAGTTTCCCTCCTCTTCTACACCCTGCACCCCCACAGCTGATTGTGGCTGGAGAAAATCCCCACAACCACACTGACAAATCTCATTTTAAACTCATGACTAATAACCACAGTGGGCCCATACAGCTGCTGGCAAGGTTTCGTCATTGTCCTGATCAGTCCATTCAATCCTCTACTTTCCTATAACCACTGTACCTTTTCTTGTCTCTCTTCAAATCTCCAGCACCTCCTCCAACTTTTTACCTTTTCCTAATTCACTGGCTTGTGGTGGTGGTGGAGGAGGGTGTGGGTAGGGTTGGTGGAGATAGAAGCTCTCAAAAGAGACCTTCCCTATTCTCCCAACTCCCACTTCTCCCAACTGACTGTCTGTCCATCTATGTCCTGCCTTCTTTCCTGATGTTGTGGATGATCTGTTTGGGTTTCTATCTGAAGCCAAATTTTACACTGTGCACTTGATCCCATCCTTTTTTCCTATCCACAAACTTATTTCCAGCAATTATCTGTTCTCTTTCCTGCTCAAGAATATTTCTTTTTCTATTGAGTCACTGCCAGCAGCATAGAAACATGCTGAATCACCACCCGTCTCACAGAGAAAACCTTCCTTGACCCAACTTTCCCTGTAGTTACTGCTCCCTTTACGGCAAATCTCCTTGAACAAGACTTTTAAGCCCACTACTTCCAATTCCTCTCCTTATAATCTTTCACTCTCAAAATTGCTCCCTGAAAACTGCTTTTATCAATATCTCCAGTGACCTCCACATGATCAAATCCAATAGCCAATTCTCAGTCTTTATCTTATTGAATTTATTGGCAGCATTTTACACCATTGCTTACTTCCTTCTTCAAATGCTTTCTTTGCTTGGCTTCTGAGGCATCACCCTCATTTCTCCTCACTGGTTGCTCCATCTCAGTATCTTTTCCTTGTCCTCCTTATCTTCCCAAGCCCTGCCCACTGGAGTGCCCCAGGAATCACTCTTTCACTGATTTCTCCAGGATCATAGCTTTAAATTTTATTTACTTATTTCATCCCCGAATTCATATTTCAAGCCTAGATTTCGCCCCTTGAAGACCAGACTCATGTCCGGCTGCCTACTCAGTCTCCACTTGGCTATCTAACAGACATCTCAAAGTCAACAGATGCCAAAATGAACACAAGATTCTCCCCCTACTCAAAAACTCCTCCTACTCCTATCTTCTGAATCTTCTCAGTTGTTCAGACAAAAATCCTTGGAGTCATCCTTGACTCCTTTCTTTCTTGTCGCACCACATCAGATAATTTTTTTGAAATTCCTTCTTCAAAATATAACCAAACTCTGACCACTTTCCAACACCTCCATTACTACTATCTCTTCTAAGCTGCCATTATCTCTCACTTCTTATTGCAAAAATCCCTTAACTTTGTTTTTCCTTCTCTCCTTATTCCTCTGAAGTCTATTTTCAACCCAGCAGATGGAGTGAACCTTTTTTTTTTTTTTTTAAAAATCTAAGTAAAATAATGTGACTTTTTTCCTCAAAACCCTCCCATGGCTTCCTGACTCTCTCAGTTTAAAAATCAAAATCCTCTTCATCACCTGCTGGATCCTACCTTTCTGTCTTCATCTCCCACCACTCCCTCTCTGGCTCACTCTGCTCAGCCACACTGGTGTCCTTCCTAGAACATGTCAGGCTTGCCTCAGGGCCTTTGCATGGGTTAGATCCTTTACCCTGAGATTTTATCACACAGGTTCCCCATGGCTCACTCCTTCTACTCCAGTGTCCCCTCAGTGAGGCCTTTCTTGACCCTCTGCCTTGACACGAAATCCTATCTCTCCCACCCTGGCGCTCCCTTTTCTTCTTGCCCTATTTTATTTTTCTTCATCGTACTTAATCATTATTTGATTTGCTACATCTTGTTATTTGTTTATTCCCCTCTCTCCTCACTATACCGTAAGCTTGGTGAGAAAGGATATTGTGTTCACGGCTGTATTTCCAGAACCTTGAATAGTGCCTGGTACAGAGTAGGTACTCAGGAAATATTTGGTGAATGAATGAATTAATGAGTGAATGAATTCAAAATAATGAACACCTATGGCCATTACTGCTGTTTCAGAGAAGGTAGAGTATCACAGACTGGAGTCAGAGAAGGCTTTGATGAGCTGGTAAGTCCAGGCACTATAGGATGAATGGGCTTTTGAACAGGGTTAGGAAAAAGCATTCATGTGAGGGAGGATGTTAAAAAGCTGAAGAAAAAGAACTCCAACAACATTTATTGAGCACTTACTACATGTCAAATACTTTACATTCATTATCTCATATTATCCTCATAATGACTATAATAGAGAGGTATTATTATTTCCATGTGAGAAATGAGGAAACTATGTTTTAGAGATTTTTTTAAAAGCAGCTTTCCCATAAAACCTTTAGTTAGTAAGTTGTAAGCCATTCTTGTAATTGAGTTTTAGCTGACTCCAGGCCCATTTTCTTTCTCTTTTTATATCTTATCATCATTATCATCACCATTCCTAATACTATTTAAGTCTCTGTACTCTCCACCTGGCATGCTCCCTCCCATACTACCTGAATGGTGACCTTTGGTAGTGCTCAACTCAGTGATACATAAATAATATAAATAATAACAAAATGTATTCTCAATTTTTTCTCATCAACCCCAGGAAGGTTAAGCCTCCTTGAACTTACTTAAATTGGTGGCAGCACGAGCTTTCAGCATCATGGCCAGCATGACCAAGCCATTTCCCTGGTGTTCCCCTCAGCATGAAACATCTGTCTACTTATTTCTTTGCTGAGCCTGAATGGAATATTCCATCTCTGAAAAATAAACTTTGTGTTTAAATTGAAATCTTTATTCCTATCTGGCAAATTGGCTATATATCCTCAACAATTGGAAGGAAGTGATGTATCTGCTGCCATCAGCTACAAAGCACTGGACGCCCACTGTGCTATTTATTAGATTTACATGAATTCCAGGTGAATCTGATCCAGTGGCTACAAAAAGTGAGTATAAATTAATTGTTATTCTATTCCTCCAGAATGCCTGATATGGAAAAAGCAATTGAATCTGAGCACAGTTGGAAATTTAAAATGAAGTTTTGTTCGGCACTGAAATTCATGAGACTGCCAGAAAGGAGAGAAGGAAAAAATTTTTTTTTCTTCTCTCTTTTTTTTTTTTTTTACAAAATCCATTGCTTTTGATAATAAAGTAAAAAACATTTATTAGTCAACTTTGCTGGGGGCAACAAACAACCCTAAAATTTCGGTTACTTACAACAAAGGTTTACTTTTTATCACGTTACATGTTAGTTATAGGTCATTGTGGGGTCAACTGTGGGGCTGCTCCATGGATAACATTCATTCCAGAACTCAGCTGGAGGAGCAGCTCCTCTATGGAATAAGCCATTCTGGTGGCAAAGGGAAAAAAGCTAGAGAGCTGTTGTCAACAGGGAGTGGCCTGAAGGCATCTGTTCACAGGTCACATGAGTGAGTCCCATGTCAGTGGGGCAGAAATGTGTACTCCTCTCATGGTGGGCACTAACAGTCCAATGGCAATGACTGGAGATGTGTAATTCTCTCACAGGAAGGAAAAGTGAAGCACTGGGAAGCATAATAAAAATCTACAGCACACTCCTTATCTTAGCGTAAAACACAGCTGGCCTCGTCTCCCACCATTCCTTATCTTGTCTGTGCTCTGGCCACATTGAATGGTCTCCTTTCTCCCTAAACACATGATGCCACACTTTCATGTCTGTTTCCTATGCTGGAAATGAAATTCCCTTCATTTTCTGCCAAACAGAGTGGCTCTCTGCCTGCAAGGTCCAGTTCACATTCTGCCTACTTTATAAAGCCTTTCCCAACTCTCCAGTTGAAATTAAGCACTCCTCCTTTGGAGCAAATGGGGCAGACTGGCTGTACATCCAGCTCTAATTCAATCTTACTTGGTCAGTCTGGTAACTTCCTTGGTAAGTTCTTTATTGGTAAGTCTGGATAAAAAGCTACTGAAGGTTGGGAGGCCAAGGCGGGTGGATCACTTGAGGTCAGGAGTTCAAAACCAGCCTGGTGAACATGGTGAAACCCCATATCACTAAAAATACAAAACAATTAGCCGGGTGGTGACTGTGGCAGGGGCCCATAATCCCAGCTACTCTGGAGGCTGAGACAGGAGAATTGCTTAAACCCAGGAGCTGGAGGTTGCAGCAAGCTGAAATTGCACCACTGCATTCCAGCCTGGGCGACAGAACAAGTCTCCATCTTAAAAAAAAAAAAAAAAAGCTATGAAGGGCAGAGACTAGGGATTCCTTTTCCTGGGGCCCCTCTCCAGCCTCTTTGGGGTCAGAGTCTTGACCATAATACATGTTTAATAAACTCAATCGAATTACTAAAAATGTACATATTCACCATCAAGCTTACCCTTAGTGTGAAATTATAAGTCTTTTCTATAGCAGGCATATGCAGCAAACCATGTGGAGAAATCTGTTAGCACTCTTCTTCAGTCACAACAGTCGTGAAGATTATCCTCTTGGTTCTGCAATATAGACCCTACCCATTGTGTGTGTGTGTCTGTGTGTGAGATTCCTACCTTCCCACCAATAAAAGCATTTTGGATACCATGTTTTCACAGGAACACTGCTTCCCTTGCCAATGATAGCTGCTTTAAGAAGTGCTGTTTCTTTTCCTTCATTTTCCCTGCAGCATCATCTCTCATTTGGCATTCTGTGTGAAGCTCTTGTTTATGGCCACACAGTAGGAGGGGAGCAGAGAGGGTAGGCCACAGGAGCAGAGCTGTGATGCAGTGGAAAGACAGGGAACCTTACAGTCAGCAAATCTGGCTTAGATTTTTGTCTCTGCTCCTTACCAGCTTTGTGGTCTTTAGTGAGCCACTTGATTCTACTATCCCTTTAATTGTATTTGTTTAAACAAGAAAAAGAGACAAAAAAAGATAAGAACAGATACAAGAATGTTGTATGATATTGAATAGAGTCTAGCACGTTGCAGGAGCTCAATATCATCATGACATGCCTTATACTTAAAAGAGCAGTGCTGGGAAATTTCTTGCTCCATAATAAATCATTGATGCACTTAGTATCATTACTTAAATGATCTTGATGTGTTGCCAGTATGGAATGGGCCACTTGATTCCCAATCTGCTTCCTCAGTTTCATCCCATCCGGTTACCCCTGGGCCTTAATAAATCTATAAGTCAAATGGATGCTTTCAAACTTAATAATCTCCATCCTGTCTCAGATGGGATAAGAGAAAGATCAAGGATCATGGTAGTGAAAACTAAGGTTAATAACCCTACCTTTTTAGCTCCTAGGAATGCCAGACTTCACTGAGAAGTTGGGAAGGAAATTATAGGCTCATGATCCTCTGGGTCAGTCCCCTTCAATTGGTGTCAAAAAATGAGAGGTCATAGATCAGAGAATCAAGCTATCACTTTCAAGAATGCTCTTTTCTTTTTCCTACTCAATGAATATATTGGATTTTATCAAAGAAGTCTGAAAGGTCCTTTGAATAGACATCATATGCAAAATTTTGTTCTTCTCTTCAGATGGGCAGAAGATCATGGGTTTTGTCAGATTTCAGAAGAGCGTAGAGGAATCTATTTTCAACAACTCTCTGTTGTTGAAACAACAATTGTATTCGTCAGGGTTCTCCAGAGAAACAGAACCAACAGAATATGCATGTGTGTGTATGTGTGTGTAATCCATTGTAAGGAACGGGCTCACATTATGTACTGTGGAGGGTTGGCAAATCCAAAATCTGATTTGCTAAGCCAGTGGGCTGGAGACTCGGGAAAGTTATGGTTCAAGTTCAAAGGCAGTCTTCTGGCAGAATTCCTCCTTGCTCAGGAGAGGTTAGTCTTTGTTCTGTTAAGGCCTTCAATTAATTCAATAAGGCCCGCTCACATTATGGATGGTAATCTGATTTATTCAAAATCCACTGATTTAAATGTTAATATCATCCAAAAATTATATTCACAGAAACATCCAGAACAATATTTGACCAAACACCTGGGCACCATGGCCCAGCCAAGTTGACAAATAAAATTAACCCACACAGTAATATAAAACAGAAAACATCCTATTGATATGATAAGTAGAATCACAGGAACTGAGAATGAAAAGGAACTTTTGAGGCTATCTGTCTGCCCTTTCTCCATCTTGGAGATAAGAAAAGTGAGGCTCAGAGATTACACACCCCTTTGGCCAGAAAGCTGGAACTAGGTCATGGGCTTCCTAAATCTTTCTACAACTGCCAAATCCAGACTTGTCTTTTTTTTTTTTTTTTTTTAACTCATCATGAGACACAGTTTAATGCCCTTTCATGAAAATTAGATAGGGTCAAGTTCCAATTTGAGTTATTTGTGTGGCAATTGGAAGGCAAACTGCAATTAGACCCAAGTTTCCTTCTTGACACATTGTACAAAAATGTAATATGTGATAATAACAACATAAGGAGGATGGGGCTGATTAGGAGCAGAGTTTTTGTATACTACTGAAGCTAAATTATTATTAATTCAGCCTGGATTGTTATATATTTAAGATGCTCATTGTAATCCACTTTCTCTGAGGTAGTCCAGGCCACCCATGGGAGAAGTTAGTGAGTGAGTTTCCACACCAGGAGCATTTAGTCTAAATGTATAAGGAAAAAAATGTATACTTCAGTAAAAAACTGTGCCTTTTCTAAAGCACACTTATCTGGGGTTGTCTACTTCTAATTCCATGGGCACTATTTCGGACTATAAGTTGTACATAACTGATAGCAACACAAAATAATTCTTGTTTATAGATAAGTAAATAAATTAAGTCCGAGGAAGGGACAACCTCTTCCTCACTCCAAGAAAAAGTCAGTTTTGCATTCATTTTCACATTCATTTTCATATTCCTTTATTCAATAAAATAATATAAAAATATATACTGCCATAAAACTGGAGTATATATTTTTGCTTCTTTCACTTCTCCTTTAAGCAGTTATAATATTTACCTGGTTCAGTCACTTAATCAATGAGTCGAATAAAATCTTTAGCACATGTTCATTTTATCTCTATGAGAGTCATGATTTTGCCCCTTTTTGGGAAAATTATTCTTTGATAAATGTCGTGTCTTTACCAGCACATCAAAAAGATGCTCTACTAAAGTAAAACTGACCCTCTGCCCAGCATCCATTCAGCTCCATTCTGCTCTGAATCTTCATATTTAATAAAAAGTTTGATTAGGTTTTCACAGGGTTTGCTGCATTGAAATCTGGGGGAAAAAATAGAAGTAAAAATAGAGACTCTGACAGCAAAAGAAAGCAGGATAGGGAAGGGGGGAAGGGCATTTGCATCTCTTAAACACTTAGTAAAGGATTTGAGAATTGGGGTAGGATGGGAAAAGGCGGGCAGAGGTAAAACAGGATAAATAACAGCTCAAAACAATTATCTTTGAGACCCGCCAAAATCATTAGTTATCCCCCTAATAAATTCTTTTACTCCGCCCCCATACCACATACACTCTTAAAATGTGTTGCTAGCAAGTGTTTGGGGCTTGATGACATCTCTGGAATGTTTTAGTCGTGTTTAGCATGGCAGCCTGGGCTCTATTCTGCTTGGAAGCAACCAGGGAGGATCTGTGATAAGTGTTGAAGAAAAGGACAGGAAAAGTGGAAGAGGAAAGAACTCAAGCAAATTCCTTCTTCCAGACCTATTCATCCTCCTCTCTCCCTCTGTAGCTTGGGCTTCTGAACACTCTCTTCAGTGTGTTATGGCAGGGAGAGCGAGGCAAGGAGAAAGACAGCACAAACCCCCTGAGCTAAACCCAGGGCCTCCACCTCTGCCTTCCCGAGTCCCAACAGTTTCCATCTCTGTTATTGATATCTTCCTGCTGTTTTGTCCCGGCCAAATTGCTCTGTACTGCCTCTTGGTGGCCTTTCTACCAAGTCTGTTGCCATGGCTACTACTTTTCCTGACTGACACCTCCACCATCAGCTTCATCATCTATTTGGCTACCTGCTTGCAGGAGTTCCTTCCAGGCAGTAGAGCTTTCATTCAACTCCAATGGACTCCTTTAACTCCTCTCCATTCCTCTGAGCAATGTGAGGAAAGCTTGTATGGCTTGAGCCACAGTTTATCTTTGCATTTTTATTCCCTGTGGCCTCATCCCTGAACCAAATCCTCATCATCTCTTTTATGGGCCATGCAGCCATCTGCTAAGTGGATTGCATTAACTTGTAGAAACAAATAGACCTCAAAATTCTAGTGGCTTAACATAATAAAAACACATTTTTTGCTACAAGGTTGGTGGAGCAGCTCTCCCTGACACGGTCTTTCAGAGACTCTGACTGAAGGAGACTTGTCTGTGTTCAGTATGTGGCCTCCAAGGGCTCCATGGGCATTGAGATCCCAGTCAGTTGGAAAGGGAGCTGAGAATGGAAAGCATGTATGGGAATCTTTTATAGGCCAGGCCTGCAAGTGGCTCGCATCCCATCTGCATAAACACAGGGGAGAAGTGGGGAACCCTGGTGTGGCTTCTCCTGAGCCAGTAATCTTGCAAGGCTAGGTAAAGTATATTAGTCTCCGTATGTTATTCTAAAATAGCATCTTTGTGTCCTATTGGTGCCATACCAGCCACTTTACCAAGTGGTGAGAAAAAAAGAAGAAGAAGAAGTAAAAGAGGAGACAGGAAGGAGGCAGGAAGAGATGGTGAAGCAGCTTAAGAAGCCCAGGTATCCAGTAACAGGTAGTGAGATTGAATCAGTAATAAAGTCTCCCAACAAAGAAAAGTCCCAAACTGGATGGCTCCCCTACTAAATTCTACCAAATGTATAAAGAACTAACACTAATTTTCTTCAAACTATTTAAACAAATTAAAGGGAAGGGAATTCTCCCTAACTCATTCTATGAGGCCAGCATTATCCTTATTCCGAAAACAGACAAGGATGCAACAACAAAAAAACAAATTACAGACCCAAATCTCTGATGAACATAGACCCAAAAATCCTCTAACAAAATACCAGCAAACTGAATCCAACAGCATATAAAACAATAATACAACATGGTCAAATGAGATTTATACAAGGGATACACGGATGGTTCAACACATAGAAATCAACAAATGTGATATATCATATCAATAGAATGAACAACTAAACCACAGGACCATCTTAATAGATGTAGAAGAAGCATTTGATAAAATTTAACATCCCTTATGATAAAAACTCTCAGCAAACTGAGCATAAAAGAAACATACCTTAACATAATAAATGCCACATACGACAAACCCACAGCTAACATCATACTGAATGTGAAAAAGTCGAAAGCCTTTTCTCTAAGAACTGGAACAAGAAAAAAATGTTCATTCTCACCACTTCTTTTCAACATAGTACTGGAAGTCCTAGCCAGAGCAATCAGGCAAGAGAAAAAGATAAAAGGCATCCAAATTGGAAAAGAGAAAGTAAAACTGTTCTTCTTTGTTGATAATATGATCTTATATCTGGAAAAACAAAAGACTCCACCAAAAAAAGCTCTTTTAGAACTGGTAAACTAATTTAGTAAAATTGTAGGACAAAATATCAGCATGCAAAAGCCAGTAGTGTTTTTATATACCAATAATGAAATACGTAAAAAGAACAGGAAAGCAATTCTATTTACACTAACTACAAAAAAATAGCAATAACAACAACATGTCTAGGAATAAATTTAACCAAGGAGGTAAAAGACCTTTACAAGAAAAACTTCAAAACTTGATGAAAGAAATCGAAGAGGACACCAACAAATGGAAAGACACCCCATGCTCATGGATCAGAAGATTTAATATTGTTAAAATTATCATACTACCCAAAACGATGTACAGATTCAATGCAATCCCTATCAAAAGAGCAAGGTTTTAAAGAAATTGGAAAACAATCTTAAAATTTGTATGGAACCAAAAAAGAGCCCAAATAACCAAAGGAATTTTGAACAAAAAGAACAAAGCTGGAGGCATCACACTGCCTGTCTTCAAAATACAAGACTATAGTAACCAAAACAACATAATATTGGTATAAAAAAACAGATACATAGACCAACAGAGCAGAATAGAGAACCCAGAAACAAATCTATTATTTTCAGCCAACTGATTTTCAACAAAGGCATCCAGAACATACACTTGGAAAAGGACACCCTTTTAAATAA
Source organism: Homo sapiens (assembly GCF_000001405.40). Classification (NCBI taxonomy): domain Eukaryota; kingdom Metazoa; phylum Chordata; class Mammalia; order Primates; family Hominidae; genus Homo; species Homo sapiens. Next base: position 170,736,849 of record NC_000003.12, read on the forward strand.
ATGGTGCTGGGAAAACTGGATACCCATACGCAGAAGAATAAAACTAGACCCCATCTCTCACCTATGCAAAAATTAACTCAATATGCATTAAAGACTTAAACATAAGACCTGAAAGTATAAAACTACTGGAAGAAAACACAGGGGAAACACTTCAGGACATTGGTCTAGGCAAAGTTTTTTTTTGTTTTTTTTTTTTGTTGTTTTTTTGAGATGGAGTCTCGCTCTGTCACCCAGGCTGGAGTGCAGTGGCGCGATCTCGACTCACTGCAACCTCTGCCTCCTGGGTTCACACGATTCTCCTGCCTCCTGAGTAGCTGGGACTACAGGCGCCCGCCACCACGCCCGGCTAATTTTTTGTATTTTTAGTAGAGACAGGGTTTCACCGTGTTAGCCAGGATGGTCTCGATCTGATCTAGGCAAAGATTTTATGGCTAAGACCTCGAAAGCACAGGCAACGAAAACAAAAAATAGACAAATGGGACTATATTAAACTAAGAAGCTTCTTTTCTGCACAGTGAAGGAAACAATCAACAGAGTGAAGGAGACAATCAACAGAGTGAAAGAGAAAATATTTGCCAACTATTCATCCAACAGAGGACTAATATCCAGCAGATAAGAAACTCAAACTAGTCAATGGTAAAAAAAAAAAAAAAAAATTAAATAATTTCATTAAGAAATGGGCAAAGGACATGAATAGACATTTTTCTAAAGGAGATATACAAATGGTCAATAGGTAAAAAAAAAAGGTCAACATTACCAATCATCAGGAATATGGAAATCAAAACCACAATGAGATATCATCTTACCGCAATTAGAATAGCCATTATGAAAAAGACAGAAAATAGCAGATGCTACTGAGGATGCAGAGAAATGGGAACTCTTATACACTGTTGGTGGGAATGTAAATTAGTACAGCCACTATGCAAAACAGTATGGAAATTTCTTAAAAAACTAAAATTCCAGCAATTCCGCTACTGGGTATTTATCCAAAGGAAAGGAAATCAGTGTATCTAAAGGATAACTGTGCCCCCATATTTATGGCAGCACTATTCACAGTAGCAAAGATATGGAGTCAACCTAAGTGTCCATCAACAGATGAGTAGATAAAGAAAATGTGGTATATATACACACAATAGAATACTATTCAGCCATAAAAAAGAATAAAATCCTTTTTATTCATCCATGTTGTCATTTGGAGCAACATGGATGAAATCAGAGGTCATTATGTTAAGTGAAATAAGGCAGGCACAGAAAGACAAATATCATGTGTTCTCATCAATATGTGGGAGCTAAAAAAAAATTGATCGCATGAAGGTAGACAATGGAATGATAGCTATCAGAGACTGGGAAGGGTATGTTGGGGCAGGGGGAGGATGAAGAGAGGTTGGTTAATGGGAACAAACATATAGTCAGAGAGGAGGAATAAGTTCTAATATTCAACAGCAGAGGAGGGTGACTATAGTTAACAACAATGTATTGTATATCTCAAAATAAATAGCTAGAAGAGAAGAATTGAAATCTTACCAACACATAGGAATGATAAATACTTGAGGGGACGGATAGCCCAAATACAATGACTTGATCATTACACATTCTATGAATGTAACAAGATTTCACATGTACCCCACAAATACGTTCAAAGATAATGTATCAATAACACATTATTGTTTTTTAAAGAGGAACCCCAGGTCTCATCTAGCTATGCAAAGACTTCCCCATTCCTTCAGCCACAGTGAGGGTACAGCTCTGCAAAGATCTGCCAGGCACAGTTGGGCAGGTTGTTCTGCAATAGAGCCCTCAGCCAAGGGACCAGTGGGGATTGAAATCCAGGCTGCTCTCTGCTTTCCAAGCATGGTGTCCAACCATGGACACCTACTCAGAGGTAGTGAAGGGAGATTTCCCTGTTTTACTGAAAGGTATATCTCTCTCCTGTGTCATATGCCTGAAGGGGGTGCCTTTTTCTAATTTGTCATGAAGGCACCTTCTATGCTACTGGAGCCCTGCTTCAGCAGCTGGTGAGTTGCTTACTGCAAAGTAGGCTTCAATTTCATAAATTAAAATGCCACACTGAAGCGTTGCCCTCTCATAAACCCATCACCTCTGACCTAGATCCTCATGTGGATTACACAGTGGCCTCACAGCATGAAATTCTGCCCAGGCTTGGATGGGGCTGCCCCACTGCTTTTCCATGGGTCATTTAGACAGATCGCTTTGTTTCTCTGTTCCTCCCATCGTTGCCTTGGAATGAGGGAGCTGAACCAGGTGACAGTGGTGTCCTTCCTGGTTATGACATGCTATGGCTCATAATTCTGTGAAAGGCAATACATCATGGAATGGGTCAGATTTGAAAGTCTAGTCTGGGCTTTTCTCTGTATAATTTTATATTTCTTCTCTCTGGTCATTTTGTTAGCTCTCACTAACACCTGTGGTGATCAGACAACCACAGGTATCCAAAGAAAAAAGATTTCAGCTTGAGATAAAAGACTAGTGAATATAAACGAACATCAAGTATCTTCCTCTCCCTCAGTTTACTTTCTTATTCAAACACACAAATACACATGTATGTGTGTGCACGCACACACACACACATAAACACACGCATTTACATATACTTACACATGTTGAGCTTATGACAGAGCTTTTTTTAATTTCAAAGCAGTATGGTATAATTTCCCAGATATAATCATTTAATGCACTTAAATTTGTTTCTCTAAAACCCAGAAGCAACTAAATTGCCAAGAATTCATGCCTGAGGCATTTCTATCTACATGTCTCAGTATAAAATGTTCGAAGGAAGTAGCTCATATTTATAAATGAGTTGGTTTGCCTCCCCAAGTCTCCTCATGGTAAGTACCATCAAAAACCTCACAAATCATCCATACCACCCACTATCGTCTTTGTGACACAAAGGAAGCCCTGCTCCATTCAAACATTCTCTACATCCTCCATAAGCCCCATGGGTTTCCAATCTTTATTTTTTTCATAAAGTAAATGACTTCCCAGGTAATAGAGGCAGATAGATAGATACATACACATTTTATTGTTTGTGCTGACAGGTTATAAGGAGTAGAGAGAAGAGTGGAGATGGAAAGGCGGTGTGGAGAACATCAGCCTTGTTGGATTACACATATGAAAATGAGGGAGAGAGAAATGGGGAACAGGGAAAATAAAGGAATTCAGTTGACATGGATTTGGCACTCACCCAGCACTGTATGTGCCATTGCTACTAGAGTGTCTTCCTGGATGTCCCATAGGCACCTGATGATCAATAAGTCCCAAATTGGCTTCAGTCCCCACTTGCTGTGCAGACATGCCCTGCCTGTCCCTGTGCACAGAACAGCCATCTATCCAGGGATGTTCATATATATCATCTCATTCAATCCTCACATCCACCCATAAAATAGAAATTATCACCCCTAGTCAATACATGAAGAAACTGAAGCTCAGAGAGGCTAAGTGCAACAGCTCGGGCTGCCATAATAAAATACCATGGGTGGGGCGATTTAAACAACAGACATTTATTTTCTTACAGTTCTAGAGGCTAGAAGTCCAAGATCAAGGTGTTGGCAGAGCTAGCTCCTCCTGAGGGCTGTGAGAGACTCACTCCTTGGCTTGTTGATGGCTGTCTTTTCCCTGTGTCTCCTTGTATCATCTTTCCTCTGCACGGCTCTGTGTTCACTTTTCTCTTTTTATAAGGACACCAGTCATGTTGGATTACAGCCCACCTTAATGACCTCATTTTAGCTTGACTACCTTTGAAAAGAACCTATCTCTAAATAAAGCCACATTCTGAAAACTGGGGTTTAGGATTTCAATATATGGATTTGGGAGCAGAGGAAACATTTCAGTCCATAACACTACCTAACCCCCAAAGACTTCTATAGGAGGAAACATTTGAAGAAAGGAGTTGGCTAGGTGAAAATAGAGGCAGTAGGCAGGAATGAGAGAAGAGTTCCAGGGACAGGGATCACTATATACAAAGGAAAGAAGGGGAAGGAGCAGGACACAGCCTGATGCCGCTCATGGTAGGAGCGTTCACATTCACATGCCACTCACAGCCCAGCCCAGCAGGGTCTGATTGCCAGGCCATACCCCAGTGTCCTGGGACTTGCCAAACAAACCCACTGTTTCTTGTGGACCGAAAGTTGTTTCTGGTACATCAAAATGGAGGGGAGAGCTGAGTTTGGCTGGGGCAGAAGAAGTGATCCTAGGGGCCTTTGAGCTCTAAGAATAAGCAGAGCCAGGAAAGTGGGGAGACTCAGTTATGAGCAGACACAGTGAAGAGCAGTACTTAGAGGAAAACCTGAACAGAATTTAAAACTAAAGCCTCAAACGCTGCGAGCTCCCCCGCCCACAACAGCCCTTGTCAGAGAGCCCAGAAGGGCATGAAAGGAGGAGGAGAGAGAGGGAGGAGGGAAGAAACTGTATTTCCCTTACCTCACAGTCTTCCCTTCTCTGGGGACCCACAGAAAGATGCACTGACTATAAAATAGGGGCTTTTAAAACTATTAGGCAACATGGAATAAAGTGTCAGAGGCAGCCAAACCAAAACCACTTGAATAAGAGCATCACTAACTGCGAGGCTGGGGCGTGGCTTCATTTTATTCCAAGCCTTTGGCACACAACACAGAATCTGGCACGTGGTAGGAATCTGACAAATACTTGGATGTTTGTTTGTTTTCTTACCTAAGAGGACATCCCAAGGATACCAAGCGTTTCTAGGTGAATCCTGTGACTCCATCCCTAGCCTGAGAGACCTGCCTCCAGGAAGGAAGAGATTATTGCAGTTCCCTCTATTTTAAAATCTTTTCAATGCCGATTTTGTTTTTGATATATTATTATTGCCTGAGGCTTTAGTCAGGAGACTGAGATCACACAAAGCACAGATCTTAGAATTTAATAGCTTTTCTCAAGAATGAAATCAGATTCTTTCTGAAAAATATCTAAAAGACATGCCTTATTACATAAGGAGAGCATGCTTCATGTGAAGATGTGGATATTTTTAGAGCATGTGTTTTGAATTTTATATTTGTGGTCCTATTTACCTGGATGAGTCACATTTAAAACGTTCCCAAATTTCTTGCCTTTAAACCCTAAGCTTCTTGTGGCTTTGAGGAACATTTGCTCAGATTACTCACAACACAAATCTTCCTGTCATTAAACTACTACACTTTGTACTGAGTGGCATATAATACATAGAAATTGTCAGACAAGCTGGATTATTCGTCCCCAAAGGAGCAGTTCTTAGTAAATGAATTACACCAAGAAATTGCTGGGGCCTACAACATTCCTTTTTTGGTTTGTTTTTGGGTTTTTGTTTTTGTTTGTATCCTCTCTAAAAGGTGGCTTCAGGCTATGTTAGCAGGAGAGTGGAGAGAAACCAAGTGAGGCCTAGAGGTCTTTGGGTACAGGAATGCAGTTTCAAAATCCTAGTGAAAGCTGCTAAGAATTCAGAGAAAGTGGCAGAGAGGAAAGACACATTTAACATTTGCTACCTAAGGTACAGCTGGAAATAATATGGAACAGATGGATCAGAACTGAAAACATGGATTGAGGAAGAGGCATGCTGGATAATTTTTGAATGGATGCTAGACATTGGCAGCTTTACTTTGTTGAGTGCTGAATATTTGTATATTCCTATAAACATGCATGAGATTTGTCCTAACAATTAAGTTATCTAGACACACTTTGATCTTTCTGGGTCTTGATTTTAAGGTTTTTCTTTAGGTGAGACCAGAGCATCATTTATTCTAGACCTAATTTTGCTCCTCTTTTGAGGCAAAGACCTTTTCAATACACCATCTGATGCCCAGTGAATTAAGAGGTTTTGTACTGTGGCTGGTAGATCAGAAATTATTCCTGGTTCTGTGTGAGCCTCAGCTATGTTCCCTCTAATCCTGTTGGTTGGTTTGTATACCGACCTCAGATAGTTTCTTATCTTACATGTGCCAATCAGTATGGAGCTAAAGACCCAAAGGGAACCTTCCACAGACCTCTGGAGTTCCCTTAGCATGCAGATTTTTCCTCTCTGCAACTCTGCCCCAAGAACTCCAGCTGACTCCACCTTCCCAGACTCCCTGCTTCATCTCCTCCACTCAGAGAGAACACTGGGCCCTTCTGCTTTCCACTTCCCTGTGGCACAGCTTGGACATTCTCTCCAGGCGGTAACCTAGGGCAACTGTCCATAGGAATTACTGTCCTGCATTGCTGATGTCCATGGTCTTGGTTGTTTCATATATTTTCTCCAGATTTTTTTCAGGAGGAAAGTAAGTCCTGTCCCTATTACTCCATCTTTGGCTGAAGTGAAAGTCAACTATATGTTCAATTGCCTTTTTAAAAAAATTTGACACATTGTAATTGTACATAGTTATGGTGTGCAATTTAGGGTTTCAATACATATATATGTTGTATAACAATAAAATCAGAGTAGTTAGTATATCCATCACCTCATGCATTCATCATTTCTCTGTGGTGAGAATATTCAAAAGCTTCTCTCCTAGCTATTTTGTAACAGTCACCCTCCTGTGCAATAGAACAGCGGTACTTATTCCTCCTATCTAATTATAACTTTGTACCGTGGACCACTCTCTCTCCATTCTTCCCCACTCCCCTCTCTAGTCTCTGGTAACCACTGTTTACTCTCTGTTTCTTTCTTTTTTTTTTTTTCTTTAGAGGTAAGGTCTCACTCTGTTGCCCTGGCTGGAGTGCAGCAGCATAATCATAGCTCACTGCAGCCTCAAACTCCTGGGCTCAAGTGATCCTCCTGCCTCAACCTCCCGTCTACTCTCTGCTTCTATGATATCTATTTTTTTGAGACGGAGTCTCACTCTGTCACCCAGGCTAGAGTGCAGTGGCATGATCTTGGCTTACTGCAACCTCTTCCTCCCAGGTTCAAGTGAATCTTGTGCCTCAGCCTCCCGAGTAGCTGGGATTACAGGTGCACATCACCATGCCCAGTTAATTTTTGTATTTTTAGTAGATATGGGGGTTTCCTCATGTTGGCCAGGCTGGTCTTGAACTCTTGATCTCAAGTGATCCTCCCTCCTAGGCCTCCCAAAGTGTTGGGATTACAGGCGTGAGCCACCATGCCTAGCCTTTCAATTTTTTTTAGATTCTACATATGAGTGATATCATATAGTATTTGTCTTTTTGCATCTGGCTTATTTCACTTAATAAAATGTCTTCCAGATTCATCCAGGTTGTCACAAATGACAGGATTTCATTCTTTTTGTATGGTTGAATAATATTCTATTCTGTATGTATACCACATTTTCTTTATCCATTCATCCATTGTTGGGCGCTTACATTGATTCCATATTTTTGCTGTTGTCACTTGCTTTTATAAGCAAGTCCAGAACCATAGACAGAACCAGCTTAGGTCAGTCTGTCTCAATAGAATTTTTACATTTGTGTCAGTTTCCATTTTCCTTGATGTATTAGTCTGTTCTCACGTGGCTATAAAGAAATACCTGAGACTGGGTAATTTATAAAGAAAAGAGGTTTAATTGAGTCACAGTTCTACATGGCTGGGGAGGCTCAGGAAACTTACAATCATGGCAGAAGGCACCTCTTCACAGGGCCACAGGAGACAGAATGAGTGCTGAGTGAAGGGGCAAGCCCCTTATAAAACCATCAGATCTTGTGAGGACTCACTCACTATCATGAGAACAGCATGGGGGAATCACCCCCATGATTCAATTATCTCCACCTGGTGCCACCCTTGACACATGGGGATTATTACAGTTCAGGATGAGATTTGGGTGGGGACACAGAGCCAAACCATATCACTTGACATTGCCTCATCTTTCTGTTTAGTTAATAATAAGTAGTCTTCATGATCGCCGCTTATTATCTTTTCTGCTCATTGTAATATCCTTCCTGAAAAGACTAGTACTAGGCAATGGTGTTTAAGTAATAAAACAAAGATTAAAGTGTCTTTAGTTAGACAAACATGGCTTTCATTGCTACCTCTTCCACTCCCTATGTGACTTTTGACAAGTGTTTTAATCTCAAAGGGACTGTCTCTGTCAACAAAATGGACAAGGGTGTAAGATGTGTTGAGAAAAAGACTTTTAATTTATGCTATCCATGCATCTGTATTTTGTTACATGAAAGATGTAATTTTAATTTAAAATAACAAAGTATTTTAAATACTTTGTTAAATAAATGGTAGTGATAATATCTCATCAACAGGGCCATCATGAGTATTAATTGAAATAATATGCATGCTTAATGTGTTATAACTTGGCCCATCTTTCCACTGTTCCAAGTACAGAACAATCATACTCTAAATGGCCAGTTGAGTTTCACAGATAATAAAAATGTGTTTTCTGTAAAGGGTCCAATTTGCTTTCTTTTTCTTCTACACAACCCTGGGAGCACTCCTAAGAGACCATGTGGGTTCAATGTGAATGGCTTGGAATTCCTTAAGTGTGTATGGATGTTGCTGTACAGTTTTCCACTGAGTGACCTCTGATTGGACAAAACTCAAAAAGTGCTGGCAAAGGAAGATTTTAAGCCATCTTTAAAATGAATGGGGATTTGGGTTCATGGTGGTAACTAGTTGAAGAGAGATAAGAGAAGAAATATAGCCTGACTGGAAAGAAAAGAATATCAACTTGGTGATTAATATTTATTGCATGCCTGCAATTCTTCTTGAACTAGTCACTACCTCTCATTCTTTGAATTCCTGAGTCATACCTTACTCTGTTTTCTTCTACATGCCAACTCCTGCACTCTTTTTGTCTGGCCCTTAAAATGGCCTCAGAATCCCTCTCAATACTGCACTGAGGCAGCCAGAATGTTCAGGCTGAGTTGGCATAAAATCTGAAACCTATTTATCATCCTATGAACATTCATCCATTAGGCTTATCTGATCACCTAGCCTTTCAGTTCCTAGACCACTTCTTTTAATGACCTTGTTTCTACTTCAGCCATCCATTTACACCCTAGAAACTGTCACTAGTTGGAACAGTTATCTTAATATCCTCCCAGATTGCAATATTCAAAATTTCCAGTGTTCTCATGACTCTATTTCTTTTGCCTTTGTTCTTTGACTATCGAGGTTCATTTTATCCAGAAATTCCTCTTTTATCTTTTCTTTCAAATTCTGGGCCACATGGTGAGATCCTAAACCAATTTCTGCCAGTATCTTCTAATTTCTTGCCACCACTTCTTCACCCTGTCCCTTGCTATATTCATCTAGCAAAACATGGTATGGGATTAGTACTGCAGTTTTATTTTTCCTTCTCCAAGAAGCTGAGGAGAAAATCCTACAACTGAAACAAGTCCAATTGTCCCATTCAACTGATTTCACTTGACCCATAGAACTGATACTATGGTTTCTTTTGAATAAACATAAAAATTGACTCTTCCAGTCTTAAAACTTAAGGAAGATAAATTTGTCTTATCTGAGTTCTTTCCCAGGAAACCAAACATCAGTCCTCCCAGATAGCATCAAGGAACTGGAACGTACCAGTTCACTCCATCTGGACAACATTCCAGACCCCTCACCCATCATGATTGCCTATCTGACCACTTGCTTTCTGTTGACCAACTCCTCTTCCCTACCCCTCCCTAATTCCTGTTTTCCTGCATGTTACATTTCTTCCCTGCTATATAAGTTCCTGGTTTTAGTTGGTCAGGGAGATGGATTTGAGACTGACGTCCCATCTTCCCAGCTGCAGTACCTAATTAAAGCCTTCTTCTCTGGAAATACTCTTGTCTCAGTGATTGGCTTTCTGTGAGGTGAGCAGCAGGACCTAGACTGAACCTTTGGTGTTTTGGGAACACAGCCTGCAGATTCATGCAACAGCAGACTCATGGCTCCAAACCTCAGCCTGGCTCTCCGTGTTGCCTTGTCAGTCAATTCTTGAACTTGACTTTGATCAGCTCTTCTTTCATTGCCTTCAATGACTCTTTCAAACTTTATCAGTTTCTTTAAAGCTCTCAATCCCTCCACCCTCAGCAAATAATCTTCTCTGTTATTTTGTTGAGAAGAACAAGGGAATATCATTTTTCTGATCTCTTCAGCTTTCTGAACTTTCCCTGCAAATATAGCTACAGCAGTGCCTGCCCTTACCATCAATGTATGGACCATGATAAATGACACTGTCCAGTTCATCATTATTCTTTCCAATCTGTTGTACTTGCTAGAGAACCTCAAAAGCCTTGCTGATCAAATCCACCCAAGTTCTTCCTACCAACTTCAGCTAGACCTGAGATGCCACCTACAGACCCTGGGGTCTACGTAGGGCATGTATACCTTTCTCAGGTCCTCAAGGCTGCTTTAGCACCTCTTACCTTCTGTGTCACTGAGCAGAAGGGGGACCTCTGAACCCCAGTTTTCCTCTTTGACCCCCCTTTTTTCCATCCTTGAGAGCTCTTCCTTTATGTTTACCACTTAGGAAGTAACCCCTCAATGACAGCCAATACTGCCACATGTCATTTACCTTATCCATCAATTATCTTTGCTATCATTTGAATTTTTCACCTCTCCAGATTGTCTTTATATTGAAGACACTTATAGCCTTAAAAATAAAGTGGAAACTTTCTACCCAATCAAGTTGCCTCCTCTTCTTTCTCCTTCATTTTGTCAAAAAAACCTTTGCATGTCTTTACTATTGACCTCCATTTCCTTAAAACCAATTTCTTCCCTAACCCCTTAAAATGTAGCTTCTGTCCTGTCTTACTGAAACTCTTCTTTGGAAAATTAAAAGTAACCCATAAAGCCAAGAGTCTGTCCTCTGCTATTATCCACGTAAACCCCACACTGAAATAGCTGTAATTTTTTTTACCATCCTGTTCTTTAAAAATTTTTTTTCCTCTAAAATAAAATATGTATACAAATGTGCAAGCTACATGAATACACAGCTTGATGGATTGTTATCCATGTAATCACTTCCCAGGACAAGAAATTAAACAATGCCAGTCTCCCAGCTGCGACCCTTCCAGTTCCCATCCTGCCCTCCTCAAGGCAACCACTACCCTTGTTTCTACATCACTTACTTGCTTGCCTTTTCTTACTCTTTTGCCACTAGTGTGCACCCCTAAATACTTAGTTTTGTCTATCAATTGGAACCAAACAGTATATTCTTTTTTTTCTTGAGACAGAATCTCACTCTGTCACCCAGGCTGGAGTGCAGTGGCATGATCTCGGCTCACAGCAACCTCCACCTCCCGAGTTCAAGTGATTCTCCTGCCTTGGCCTCCCAAGTAGCTGGGATTACAGGTGCCCGCCACCATGCCTGGCTAATTTTTTGTATTTTTAGTAGAGACACGGTTTCGCCTTGTTGGCCAGGAGGGTCTCGAACTCCTGAGCTCAGGTGATCCACCTGCCTCGGCCTCCCAAAGTGCTGGGATTACAGGTATGAGCCACTGTGCCTGGCCCCAAACAGTATATTCTGTTTGGTTATAATAATATTTTGGATCTGGCTTCTTTCAGCCAACATTATATTTGTGAGATTTATTTGTTTTCCTGCATTTAGATGCAGTTTAGTTATTTTTATTGCTCTTATAGTGTTTCACACAATATACCACAATTTATTTATCCATCCTACTGTTGATGGCCATTTGCGTTGTTTCCAGATGGAGGTAGGATGAATAGTGTTGCTCTAAACATTCTTGTGTATGTCTTTTGATGTGTGGGCACACATTTCTTCTGGAGATATGCCTAAGAGTGGAATTACTGAGGAATAGATTGCATTATCCAGTACTTTAGTAAACAGTGCCACACAGTTCTCCAGAGTGTTGTGTTTGTCTTCATTTACACTCCCACCAGCAGTATATCAGTTTCTATAGTTCTAAATCCTCACCAAAACTTGGCATAATCAGTCTTATTAATTTTGGCCATAAAGGTAGTTGTATAATATTTTAAATTTGCTTTCCAATGATTGTTAGTTGATATCCTTTCACACATTTTGGACATTTGGATATTCTTTATTTATAAAGTACCTTTTCAAGTCTCTTGCCTGTTTATCCTTTGTACTGCCTTTCATTTTCTTATTTATTTGTAGTAGTTGTTCATATAGTCTCCATTATGTTCAGTGTCAGTTACCTGTGTTGTCAATATCTTCTCCAATCTGTGGCTTGCCTTTTCACTATCTTAATGGTTACTTTTGAAGGACAGAAAATGTTAACATTAATTAAATTGTTCCATATTTTCCTTAACAGCTAGTGGTTTTAGTCTCCTGTTTAAAAAGTATTCTCTAACTCCTGTTCTTGAAGTTTTTTCTTCTCAATGTTTCAGGGACCCTGCATTTTTCTCAGTTCTTTTCTCCTTTCTAAAGTTCCATCTCAGTTTCCTTCATGGGTTTTTCTTCCTTTCCCCATATTCCGTGTGGCTACCTCAGTATAAGGTGCTGTCCTCTGCCTCTTTGCTCTATGCTCTTTCTCCTCAACATTCACCTCTCAGCAGATCCACTCCTCTCCCTAGCACCAGACTGGCATATCTGTGTGCTGGGCCATTCAAGTCAACAGTTCAGTTCTTTGATATCTATTGAGAAATTTCTCAGTATCAGGCTTTGTGCTGGGTGCTGGGACTACTCACATGAACATCACACAATCCTTTCCCTTGGGCAAACCACTGAATGAAGATACCTATAATCTAGTCACAGTGATACTCAAAATATTCCAGGCTCATCAACTCCCCCTATTCCCCAACATGCTCTTACTGATGGAGCAATGGCCCCATCATCTCTTTAAACACACAAGATGCGAGGGTCATGTTGAACTTCTCTTTCTACCCCATCTAATATCCAATGATGTGACAAGCCCTGTTTGTTTTAAGTCTACACTTTAAACTCCCATCTTCCCTTCTTTCCACCCCCTCTCCCCACCCTGTGGCCCTCACATTAAGTTCCTTACTATGCCTCTCATAGAGGGCTGAATTGGCCTCCTAAATGGTATCTCTACATCCAATTTCTTCCCCCTCACTCAGCAGGCTCCATTCTCATGGGTCATTTGCCTTGGGAACAGGCTTTCAAGGAACAATATTATCAGAGTGATTGTCTTCTTCCTATTATTCAGAAGTCTCTTTGAAGGAAAGAACTAAACAGAATCTTACTCATCTTTGAGAAATATCTACTTGTTCCATCAGTGAGTGTGGATTGTGAGGCTCTGAGTGCCTCATAAGTTGCCTGACTTGACAGATGTAAGCAGCAAACATCATACTGATGAGGATAGATAAGGGTCTAACATATGGTTTCAGCTCTAAGTGCCATGAAGCTCCTGAGAAATTCCCACTCTGGCCTTTGCAATAGATTCCAGAAAATCCTCTACTCTTCCAATTTTATCACATCCTTCAAAACTTTGTGATTCTGGATTACATTTCATTAGGATATTTGTTCTTTACTCTTTGAAAATGGGAAGTACCAGAATAATTTGTCTATGTTGCTCACTTAATCAAAAACTTTCCATGAACAACTCCTCACAGCCTGCAGCCAAGCTCCTTAGGATTTGGTCCAATCTGCTTTCTTGGCTTGTTCTCCTACTTAGCATACTTACCACCAATCAGATTCCTGCCCATATTCTATTTGTATTGTGTGCATTCTGGTCTTTGATCAAGTTGTCACATCTGTCTACAAAGCCTTCCTGCTCCATCTTGGCATGTCCAGATCTTACATCTCCTTCAAATCTCAGCTCAAATGCCTCCTCTTCCATGAGGTTTAAGGGAGGTCTTTTAACCAGAAGCACATATTCCCTTTCTGAACCTCCAGCATTTAATTTTTATCTCCGACCACACCAACCACCCTCCCCTTATGGTAGCTGGCTGGTTACCTATCACTTGTCTTTCCAGGACAGACCTGTGTCATTCTCATCTTTGTGTTCCTTACAAAGCCTTGTAGATTGCTTCCCACAAGGCGGATACTCAGTAACCATTTGCTGCATGATTAGGATATATATTGAGAACATGTGACAGGCAAAACTCAGTAGTAGGCACTATAGAGATATATAAATACAATTCCATTTCTGCTCAAAACATGTACAATCAAGTAAGGCATTTACATATGTACTACACAGTAAACATTAGCATGTTATACATTTCATAAAAAAGCTTTGAAATGCTGTAACTTTAATCCTTTAAACCCATCTTTTTCAACTTACAAAACACACAGAACTTTTAAAAGAAACTATTGCAGCATTCACTTGAGTTATTTTTATCATGCTATTATTCAAATAAGAACAAACATAAAGCTTATGGTTATAGCATGTGATACCTATAAAATCAAGACACACTTATAAATTGTAACCAAGCAAAATTATTCTTTATTGTGTCAACTGTTTCGGGCTACAAGATGCCTTGAACAAGCTAGGAGGAGCTTGATGGAGAGTGATCTGGGGTCAGGGAGACTATTGGTTGGGAGCCCCCATTCCTGGGAAGTAGAGCTTTAGGCTAGGGTATATATCAGAGTCTGCATCTTTGATGTGATGCAATGGGTGAGAAAGAGAAGTGGCAGAGGCAGCCAAGCAGAGGAAATCCTCAAGAAGAGGGATTCTAGCAGCCACAAAGAGGCATAAAGACCAGGATAGACCCCAGGAAGCATAGGAAAAGAGCATCTCAGAAAAATGCTTTTGGGCAACATTTAGTTTGAGCTTGTGCTCTCTCTTAGACTCTCTGCTAAAGACTTCCCATTAATGCCATTATTTAATCCTCACAGTAAACCACAAGAGAGGCACTATCATTAGTCATGGATCAGGAAATGAGCATTAAGGAAATTCCATAATTTCCATCAAGTGCAAAACTGGCAAGTGAGAGAGCCTGAATTTGAATCCAGATTTACCTGACCCTAGAGTCTGAGCCTGTAACCAGTATGCAGGACCACCTCTTGGCTGGCTCCTGGCCTCCTGGCCCCATGTATTTGTTTTCTTTTATTTCTAAATGGCAGCTGGGGAATGTTACCAGGAAAGTAAACTCCCTGAGTCATTCAGGATTGGGCACCAACCCAAGCATGCCTGTACCCTCCAGGGAAATGTGGGGAGGAAGAGGGAGGAAAGCAGAGATGGAACGTGTTTTAGAGGGGGCCTCAGGCAAGTCATGCTCACAGGGACCGAATTTCAGAAGGACCCCCTGAGATTTCTCATAGAACATTTGGTTTCAACTCCAAATATCTTTTAAGTTTGCACTGTGCACCTATCACTGTGTTTAGTGTTTGGTTGATTCAGGATTTTTGAATTACCCCAGAAGTGATTACAGCTCCCACACACATGAGCAGGATATGCTGAGTGTGTGAAAGAGAAGTCTGGGGTTTGACAGGATGGTGTTTATTAGAGCCATTTAGGAAGAAAAGAGAGAGCTCCCTTCTGAGTTGTTGCTGCTGACACCAATCTGTGCATTCACACTGAGGACAAGTTTGATGACAAATCAGTAGCATGCATTCATATGCCTCTCAAGAGCATGTTTATAGAACCTACTGGTGTATAATACAATATGCAGATTCCAAAGAAATAGAAGTCAGAGTCCTTACTCCTCTCTCTAGTTGTTGATGACACAGCTGAGATTTAAGTTTATAGAGCAAAATAAACAACTCAGGCTCAAAATGGCACTAGCCATCCCTAGAAGTTACAGTGCCCACAGATAAGGCCAACTGCAGACTATGTACAGGAAGTACAGAGAAATGTCAGTTTCCACTCCCACCCCTCTTTGGAATCTTTCCCTTGAACCCACAAATCCAAATCGGGGGATAGAAATCTGAGTAAATATGCATTAGCTTCAGATTCTTTAATTCTATGGGACCCAGAATGGGCTTGCTGGGATGTTAGGGGCCTAATGCCCGAGTGTTCTAGGGGCTCCTGGGGATTAAGAGATAATCAGTATTGTCCTTGAGGGTAGGGACAGTATGTTTGGGCCCCCATCACCTAGAGCAGTGTCTGACACATAGCAGTTGTGTAATAAATGTTGGTTAATGAATCAACAAATGGTGTTCCAGGGACTTCAAACTTGGTGAAAGTGGCATGGTGGTCAAGTGATGAGTAGGAGAGAGTGGGGCAAAGCCTGGTAGCATTTGCCTGGAGCCCTACAAGATACCTGGTGAATGTAGATTCAAATCAGAGTGGCTAGGTTTCACCAGAGACCTCGTGCTGCTGCCCTCTTTCCTGAACAGATGCCATCCGACTATCTGATTTCATCAGGAAAACAGGAGGAAAAAATGATATTTTGCCTGAAGCCATTTTTAGAAGACGAGAGAGAATAGAGTCATTCTTGCCTGTCACTGCGGCTTGTTCAATTTAAACAAGCAAGATTCAGGAATGAGCAAACCATTAATGCAAAAGAAAAAAAATCAACATAAAATGCTCTGACGA
Organism: Homo sapiens; assembly: GCF_000001405.40. NCBI lineage: Eukaryota > Metazoa > Chordata > Mammalia > Primates > Hominidae > Homo > Homo sapiens. The sequence goes on from NC_000003.12 coordinate 170,753,148, forward strand.
GAACTCCTCTGTGTTCTTTTGAAAACATCATTTGGATGATAACTCAAAATTGGTTCACATTATCATTACCAGTTTGGGACACTTTGTTATCCATTTTAGTTCACTTATCTTATTTTTGACCCCAAGAAAGTACCGAGGCACCTTCTACTAGTCAAAAATTTAGGAAACAAATATCTTACCTTCACTGAAAAGGCATTTCGAATATAAAATAAGATGTGACAAGGTATCTTTCCTCCTTTAGATGCATAAGAAATTTTGCTTTGTTACTTATAGATTTTGTAATCTGTGATTCATGTTCAAAGAGAAAGCAGCAACCCACTGGGGAATTGCTCACATGAAAAGTGCACTTATTATATTAACTCCATTAGATGCACGTTAGAGTCTGTTCTCTGTATGGAAGGAGCTGAATAATAGCATACAAAATCACTGTTATTTGAGTTCCTGAGCAGCATCCTGGATTTCAAAATGACTCATAGAAAAATTATAAACAGCCCAAAGCTCACAAATTAGGGTAATAAAAAAAATCTCCATAATTTTTTCAATATGGTAGTATGACATGATTTTAGTAGTAGCCAAAGAAATAATCAATATTTAAAGATGTTTGTGACATGGAGAGCAAATGGGGGAAATGACCTATACTTGAATCAATTGGCAAGAGCTTGAAATACATTTTAAAATGGGGATTTCAAATCACCATCAAAGTATTTCTCTTAATTACTCATTTCCCTTGGAATTTACTGGAAGCATTTTCTACCTATGCTTATATTATCAATGACAAATGATACATTTAGTTCTGGGGAGCTACGATAAGGACTCACCCTTTGCATATCTATGTGTATATGTATTTATTTATATATAGATACATGTATACATAACATTTATATACATATACAAATATGTGTGCATTTTTCTTATCCTACCCTCTTCTGAATAAACTGTGAGGACAAATTGTCCTGGAGAGTCCTGGTACTAGAATAATATATTCATGAAGTGCAACAGTCATAATTTTATTCAAGTTTTGTTGTCTTTTCTCCCCCTGGGAAACTTCTGGAGGAATTAGATGTGTAAACCCAGAATACTGAGAAATTGCTAGTCAGAAAAAAATGGTTCTAATGAAACTGCCCTACTGATGAACTCTAACTTTCTCTATAGCTTCCTTAATAAAAACAACAGAGCAGCATTAATGTATTGCCTTTGCAGTTTCTTCACAAATTAAAATCCCTCTTTTTTTTTCTATCCAGAAGATCTGAAACTTCTATAAGCCCAGCATCTAAATCAGTTTTTGACTGAAATGAGTACAGGCAAGCTCTGAGGCAGCTCTATCCAGGGCTATGACAAGAATGAAGTGAACACATTTTACCCTACATGGAAATGTCCATTCCAACAAGTGCTAATTTGACAATGGTAATGATTACTATGGGTTGAATTGGATTATCCCAAAAGATATGTTAAAGTCCTAACCCCTGGTTCCTGTAAATGTGATTGTATTTGGAAATAGGATGGATGCAGATATCATTAGTTAACATACTGGAGTAGGGTGGATCTTTAATTAAATAAAACTGATGTCTTTGTAAGAAGAGAAGAGACACAGACACAGAGGGAAGATGACCATGTGAAGATGGAGGCAGAGATTGAAATTATGCTGCCACAAGCCAAGGAACTCTTGGGGCTACCAGAAGCTGGACGAGGGCAAGGGAGAATTGCCTGTAGAGCTTCGAAGGGGACATAGCTCTTCTATCAGCTTGATTTCAGAATTCCTGCCTCCAGAACTGCGAGACAAAAAAGCTCTGTTGTTTTAAGCCACCTAGTTTGTGTTACTTTGTTATGGCAGCCCTTGGAAATTAACAATGATTATAATAGTAATATGAATAATAGCAACAGCATCTCATTTACTGTTTTCTATGTGTTAATAACAATTCCAAGTGCTTTACACATATTATGGGCTTTAGGGTCTCATTTTACAGATAAGGAAGCAAGTAGAGAAAGCAAAAGAAAGACATTGAAACGTGCAATGGGGAAATTTGTTTCCATACAAATAAAACAAACCATCTGAGGAGCCTTCAAGAGTAGGCATCTTTCCATCACCAGCTTCCTGTTGGATGGGGTATCAGGAGACATGGCCTCTGGCCTTGATTTTGCCACACACTACCCTGTACTGTTTCTTGGAGATTGGATGATCTCAGAGGCGTCTCCCAGCCCTAAAACTCTAAGATTCCATTGAAAACTTGTAATTCAAGCAATCAAATAGTGAATGGTGACTTGCTAGGGACTGAGAGATGCCCTGAAGTCAGTGTGAGACACTTCCATGGGGCTGGTTGTGCAAATTCTCATGACACAGGGCTCTGGTCTTCCTTTTGGGCCCATAGGCACGTGCCCAGATGTGGCCCCAGGGCCTGAGGGATCAACAGGATGCCATGGTGCTGGGGACCCTGCACTGTCCAGTGTAGATGGTTTTCCCTTCTTCACCATACAGAGCCCTTGGTGAGCAGCTTCTCAACTTGCTGGGGGAGGGTCTGTGTGAGCTTGGGGCAGTGATCTTTCCTAGGGAGGTAGCAAGCTCACGATGCCAAATGGTAGGACCCATTTGATCTCCCAGCCAAACTGCAGTACCAGGTGAATAATTATAAAATGCAGAAAATGTGAGAAAACCTCAAAATCACCGCCACTGGCTGTGCTGCAATGCCAGGCCCTTGATGTGGGATCACATACCTGTGAATGCCTCCTTCCATTCATTCACCAGTGGCTCAACTTGCTGAAGCTTCAGAAGCTCTAACCCCATATGCTTTGTACCCTGGCCCTGTACAGAGTACATGAAACTAGCCCAGTAAGAAGTATCTTGGAGTATAAATCAAACACATATAGGTAGACTTCTGGGGCAAAACTTGCTTATTGAATTCAACCTTATCTATTGATAGTTGAGAAGGTAGTTTATTTTTTGAAATTAAAATTTTTATGGGGACATAGTAGGTTTATGTATTTATAGGGTATATGAGGTATTTTGATACAGGCATCTAATGTGTAATAATCACATTGGTTATTGGATGGTTAATGGCTACTTGGGAGGGTGAGGCATGAGAATTGCTTGAACCCAGGAGGTGTGCAATGAGCTGAGATAGTGCCACTGCACCCCAGCCTGGGCAACATAGCAAGACTCTGTCTCAAAAATAAATAAATAAATAATAAATGGCTCACTCATAACACTCTTAAAGAAATTTTATCCCCCTCCTTATTTTACAGAGGTAGAAAATGAGATCCAGAGAAATAACTTCCTAAGATCTGAGGGCTAATAAGTGGCAAAGCATGTGCCACCATGCCCGACTAATTTTTGTATTTTTAGTAGAGATGGGGTTTTTAGTAGAGACGAGTTTTCACCATGTTGGTCAGGCTAGTCTTGAACTCCTGACCTCAAGTGATCCGCCTCCCTTGGCTTCCCAAAGTGCTAGGATTACAGGCATAAGCCACCGCACCTGGCCTCAACAAATTGAATTTAAAGATCTAATTGACTTGTATAAGTCAAGTAGTATACCATCTTCAAAATAGAAAGGCTCTCTGATGATCAGAGCAGGGGGGTAGACTTTCCAGGAAGAAAAGGTTGAAGAAAACAAAAATCAGGAACCAACAGTAGATTGGTCATTTCAAAGTTACTTTCCTGGCCAGGCATGGTGGCTCACACCTGTAATCTCAGCACTTTAGGAGGCCGGGGTGGGCAGATCACCTGAGGTCAGGAGTTCAAGACCAGCCTGGTCAACACGGTGAAACCTTGTCTCTACTAAAAATACAAAAATTAGCAGTGGTGGCGGGTGCCAGTAATCCCAGCTACTCAAGAGGCTGAGGCAGGAGAATCGCTTGAACCCAGAAGGTGGAGGTTGCAGTGAGCCGAAGTCACACCACTGCACCCCAGCCTGAGCAAGAGTGAAACTTCGTCTCAAAAAAAAAGGTTACTTTCCTTACAGAGTTAAAGTAGAGGGGACTTCTTTCATGCTGCTTCAGGTTGACTGGGGCCCTTTGGATTAATTGCTGCAAATCTCCTGTTTTGTTTTTGTTTTTGTTTTTTTCTTTTTGAAAATTGGCCCATCTCTAAGTATAGTATGATTATCTAGCAGGAGTGACTCCATTCTGTTTTGGTCTTGTCTGGTGGCACTTAGTGCAGGAGCTTAGTCCAAAACAGTAGCCTCCCATATATTTTATTTAGCAATATAAACCACTTAAATAGTTCCTGGATGAATTAATGGCATTCACAGCAACCTGGATGGAGTTGGAGTCCATTATTCTAAATGTAGTAACTCAGGAATGGACAAGCAAATATCGTCTGTTCTCACTTATAAATGGGAGCTAAGCTATGAGGATGCAAAGGCATAAGAATGATGCATTAAGAACGGACTTTGGGGACTCAAGTGGAAGGATGCGGGGGTGAGGGACAAAAGACTACACATTGGGTACAGTGTACACTGCTCGGGGACAAGTGCACCAAAATCTCAGACAGAAATCACCACTAGAGAACTTACCCATGTAACCAAAAACCGACTGTTCCCCAAAAACGATTGAAATAAATTAAAATTTAAAAAAATACATGAAAAAAATAAAATGTGTGAAAAATAATAAAATAAAATAAATAGTTCCTTGTACTACATGAGCAGTGTATAATTGAACTGTGTATACAATGTACATGTGTATACAATGTGTATACAATGAACCGCTCGTAAGTGGAGGTAACAAAGCACTTATATTTGGTCTTTCAGGTACAAATCCCATATTTAGGCCTAAAGAAGCTTCAGGAGGTTTCCTGATACTCTGCTTCATATATCTCCTTGATCTAGCTTTTCTCCTATCTTTTATTGTTAATTTAGTTCAGCTTAGTTTTTAAATAGAAAAGTGATTCATGTTCACTAAAGAAAACGGTAATTTTTCAGAAAGAATAGAAACCTCCTTTAATTGCTTACGACTCAGAGGCAACCGCTTTACCATGTTTCCTTCTAATCTCTTTTAATACTTTTCTTATGCAATTGGCTGCATTTTCTTCACACATACAATGTTGTATCTGTTGTTAGTTAACATGCTGAGTGTTTTTGATGCCATTCAAATACTTCATAAGCATAACTTTTCATATCCACATAATATTCCGTCTTACAGATATGTGACTTATGTTTAGCTTCTGTCTATTGTCGTTCATTTACCATGTATATTTTCACTTCCAAACTGCCTTCTTTTATGCCTGAATATCTTGAAAATTGATTTTTTTCCTCACGTTTCCTCCTCCTTTTTTGCTCACTGACGTCTTTCTGATTTTCTCCCTCTCTTTATCCTGCTTCTCCCAGTCTCACCTTTATAAATTTACATTTATAACATGTTTTCCTAACATGAGTTTTGCATTTAAAAAGTGTTTTCTCACATTCATCACCTTATTTGGTGTCCACAATAACCCTCTGGAATAAGCAGGGGAAGTAGAAACTAAAATTCAGAGAAGTGATTTTCCCAAAGGCACTTAACCCAGATGACTCTTAATTCACTGTCTATACCAGACCACTCTATATGATGGTTCTTTTGGACATGTTTTTATTTTTATTCTTTATTTTTTGGACACATGTTCTTAAAAGCTACACAAGATTCATATAGGTTTAAAAAATAGCTTTTCATTGTTCATGTTTATAACATAGTTGATACATCTGGCATATAATAATCCTTATAGGTTCTACCAAAAGTTTAAAACATAAGGAATAATGAACTAATGGGCACCATCAAGCTCTGGCAAGGATCTCACAGGGGCATAAAATAGTTATGTGTGGTCTTTCACATCTTCTCAGCAGTTTCTCCAAATACTGCACTGCCTCAACATAGAATTCCCCACCATGCTTTTGAACTGACTCCACCCCCACCTTTTTTTTTTTTTTTTTTTTTGAGATGGAGTCCGCTCTGTTGCCCAGGCTGGAGTGCAGCGGCGCGATCTCAGCTCACTGCAAGCTCCGCCTCCCGGGTTCAAGCGATTCTCCTGCCTCAGCCTCCTGAGTAGCTGGGACTAAAGGTGTGCGCCACCACGCCCGGCTAATTTTTTTATTTTTAGTACAGACGGGGTTTCACCATGTTGGCCACAATAGTCTCAATCTCTTGACCTCGTGACCCGTCCGCCTCGGCCTCCCAAAGCGCTGGGATTACAGGTGTGAACCACCGTGCCCGGCTCACCCTTTTTTTTAAAGATAAACAAAATACTAATTTGCTAATGAGTATATTGGAGATTGTCTCCTGTGACCTCAGTCATATTAAATTCTCTCCCTGAAGGGGACTAATACTCCTCACAACCACCCCATTAGCCCTGTCTTCCCATGTTTAAAAATCAGCTTTGTTCAATTATGAGGTCAGGTTTCCCCTTTGTGCAGGTCTTCCTGAAACCAGCGGGCTTCCTGAGGAATGTGAAGAGAACCAGGTCACCTGGGATTTCTTCCTTCCTCAGAAGGTCTCCCCAAGTCAACATCGCCTCTGAATTTTCTATTTCCTTTTGGCAAATAAAAGAAAAAGTAAGTAAAACATCTTAGTCTATGCATGACCAAAGGTTAAACCTTTATTGCTTCATTTTGATTGTATCAGCTTTTCAGGACAATGTTTTCAAGGCCAGAGCTTATTTTAATAGCTGTAATAATACCAGTATTTTCTGATAATAATGGCAAACACTTTTTTTGGCAAGCACTTTTAGTGTTTGTTGTGGTTGTGTGCCAGGCATGGTTCTCAGCAGTTTTCACTAATTCATTTCATCTTCACAACAACCCTATAAGGTAAATTTTATTATCGCCCTTTCTACAGATTGGCAAATGAGGCACAAGTGGTTTGGCTTGCCCCTAAACTACATAGACAGCAAAAGACTGAGGGAGAATTTGGGGAAGACAGTCTTGCTCCAGTTCATGCTCTTATTCACGGCACTGTGCTGACCTCTCAGTCACCACGCTATTTACTTTACATACATTGTCTTATTTAATCTTCACACAGTGTATGTTTTATTATTTATCTCTATTTTACAGGTGAGGAATGAAGCTCAGTGGTGTTTAGCAGTTTGGCCAGATTCCACTCTGGCAAGCTCAGTGAGACAGAACCAATTTCCCTTTCTGTTTCTTTTAGTAGATAAAGCCATTGACCCAGCGATGAGGCAACTCAGAAAATGCTCAGAATACCAATCATAGGATCTCCCTAAAAATCAAGTGATGTGGTCAAGAAACAAAGCCTAAATAGAGCTTCTCTGCCACTCTGCTATGTGCTGCTGCATTTCTCCATAGAAATGTAACTTTCACCACCACCACACAAAGCTGAACCAGTTACCAGGGAGCTGGGAAGCAAGACAGATAGCAGGGAGACAGGGGAACACTTTAGGGTTAGGCCATTATTTTCAGATCAGGTAGAAGAGTAGAGATGGTTAGACACACTCAGAGATTCTTTGACTCTGACTTCAGGCAGGAAGTAAAATCCAGTCTAATCAGTTAATAAAAGGCATTCATCAAAGAGATTCAACCTCACACTGTTACTTCAACAGGCATCTTGCCCTTGTGGAAAAACAGGCTTAATTTCCAAATCATTTTAAGCTTGAATATTGGTGCAATGGGGAGCTTAATTTGGGAGGTAATGAGACCACCAAAGGAAATTAGAATGATTAACTGGGGCACAGTGAAAGCATGGAGCTGTTGGTAAAGGAAAATTGTATTTGTAGAGCTATGTGGTGGGGGGCAAGAGGCACAGATGAAGAGAACAAAGAGGGAGGAACGACTCCTGAGACTGGTAGCAGGAGAACAGAAGGCTCTTAGGAACAGAGGAAATTTTTTAAAAATACAACTTTATGAAATGGGATTGCAGAGTATTATTCAGTTAGCATCAGGTAGGGTTTCATGTGGCAACAACCACAGCTGGCAACACATTCTTTCAGAAGCACAGACCCTCTGGTGGTTTTATTGCACTCTAAGGGGTGTTGTTGAAAATAACAAGTTAGATTTCTTCATGAGGTCATTGGCACTGCATATACCTGGGCATGCATTATGGTTCTATCCATCCTAACTCGGCAAGCAGTGGGTTTGGAATTCAGTCCTATAACTTCCTTTCTGTAAGATTTCCTTCTAAGGTATCCTGCAGGAACGATTACTGGCAAGAAATATTGACCCTTTAATGTGTCAGAACTGAATCAGGCCCCATTCTTTACACAGGGTTAATCACCCAGTTCTCATGCTCTGCCCCAGAGAACTGAGGCTGCCACAGTGTCCATGCCAGGCTGCTCACTGGACACAGAATGAAAGACAGTGCATTACAAAACTTTCAGGTAAACGTACATCCTTGGACTTCTATGAAGAAACAACAGAATAACAGGAATAACATTTTTCCAGTGGCATACAGATTGTACTCTGAGGACTCTGAAACCTGATATAAAGTCCATACTGGGGAAAAAAACATGGTAGTATTTGTAGGATGGGCCCTTGTTGCTATTTCACCTGGCCCATTTGTTTCCAGTCTGAAAGGGGTCTGGTAGGCTGTTTGGCAAATGGAATTGAATGATGATCACAGAATGAGAAATCCAAAAATCTGATTTGAATCCTCTGAAAAGTGCACTAGCCACTCAAGCTTCATGGTTTAAGATTTTGATTTTTAGAAACATATAGTGCGTCCAGAGGCACAAGCCAGAAAGCCAAGTGTCATGGACTCCTAGGACTCAAAGAAGTCCTTTGTGTTCATCCTTAAATTTGAATGTGGCTTTCAAGGTAACCGAGAAGATAGTTTCATTCATTTCACAAACTTTTAACTGAGAAACTTTTAATAACATTTATTAAACTTTTAATAACTTTTAAATTGAGAAATTCTTGTTTACATAGCATCTAAAATGCTAACTAGCTCTTCTTTTCTGACCTTGTTTCATTCTCCTTTTCCTTTCTCCTGTTTTTCATGTTTTCTTTTTCATTTTCTACTTTTCTTGACTACATTTAACATCTTTATATTTGTCAATGTTTAGAATAATCACCCTTAATATTTTGGTATTTCCCTATGTACACATATCCCAAAGGATCAGAATATTTATGACTTTATTCATTTTTGGCCCAACCCTGTATCCTGCAAATTTCAAAAACAGCTTTACACTGTTGATCCCTGTTCAAATCACAACTGTTTTCTATTATCCTCTTACTTCATAGATTGCGTATTGGAGGGCTGTCTTAAGTCTAATACCAGGCATTTACTCCAGTTTCAATCAATCTTTTTTTCTAATTGTTTTATGGTCACCCGTTCCAAATTGTGAGGTACCTGGTTGATTCATACTGGCATTGACACACTCAGGACAGAAACTTTCCATTCAGTGATTTAAATTATTGGTTTTTTTTAAAAAGGATACCAGAACTCAGTACTTTCTCCAAATGACACTCAACATGCCCCTTGATGCATAAACAGATCTCAAGATTATTACATTTACACAATGTAGTCAGCCTGTGAAGTATCATAATACAGGTAAAATAAAAATTAAAAAGCAGGCTAAGGGAACATAAAGGAAGAAAGAATTGCATCAAAGACAGGTTCACACATGAGTTGTGCCTTAAGGAAGACATGGAAAAAGGTAAGAATCCTATATCTTTGGATTTATTGTAAAATTTAGCTCTCATGTCATTGTACTCTAATGAAACAGGAAATAAGATAGTATTCTCCTCTCAACTGCTTTTGTGTTTCAGCAGTAATAACAATAGCTACTATTTATTAAGAACTTACTATATGCCATGCATTGTGCCAGCTGCCTTACATATATTAACTTACTTATGAATTACAATAGACTTAGATGGTAAGCAGTTTTATTTCCATTTTATGAATAAGATAATCAGGCTAAACCACTTGCTCAAAGTTACACAGTTAATAAGTGGTCAGGCCAGGATCTAACCTCAGGTATACCTGACTCCAAAGCCCATGTCTTTAACCACCAGGCTTTTAACACCTGTGTTTTGTGGCTGGTAATATCGTGTCTCATGATTAGCAAACATAACCTTAACTTGCTTCACATGGGTCTTCCCAAAGGCAAATGAACCTGACTCAAGCAGATGTCCTTTGTATTCCAACAATTCAGCAGGCATCCTACTGTAGCCTGCCCAAGGTGTCAGCTTCCTGAAGCCCAGTACAAGCCCACCATGTAGAGTCACATCATTTGATAATTTCCCACCAGCACAGCCCTTGCCCCTTAGTCATCAAAGGCACAGACCCCACCTGCTTTATTCCCCTCCTGCCCAGAGTCCCACTTGGGGCTGCAAAGCTCCTCAGAGATTTTCTCTGCCTTTTCATTGCCACTGATGGGCCTTGGGAAGTCCCTTCCAACCCTGTTGACAAGAGCCTTAGAAAAGGGAACACACATTTGCTAAGTGTTTTCCATACACCAGGAACCTTACTAGACATTTTGTTTAGGCAATATTATTTAATAACAATTTATTAGTAATTATAATGACATAATGCAGGTAGAAGTACAGGCTTCAGAGTCAGATGTGGGTTTAAATCTAGACTTTAAATAATCTGAATCTCATCTGAAAAATGAGGATAATGGGGTTGTCGTGGGTGAGGACTTAATGAGATAGTGTACGAAAGCCCTCAGCAAGTGCCTAGGCCATAACAGGTACTCAATAACTCTTGAAAATTAAGGATTAAAGAGTCAGAGTTAAAACTGAGATTAAAAAGTCTTTCAGAACCCAAATCTCGTACATTGTAAAGGATTGTAAAGGAAATCTCAATTCTACCTGTGGCTTTTTTTTGGTCTAGACAAGATTATAAATTGTATAAGTTTGCTTTGCAGTTTGGGCCTCTATATAGAAAACAATTGTAATGAACCTTCACTGGTTCCTATTTACAGAAATTAGACACTCCATTCCCCCACCCAGATTTGAAAATGATTTTCATGTGGGATGTCACCCCATGTGATCTCATGCTGGCCAGATGAAAGACAGCAGGTGTAGGCCCTGGTGAACCAACCTGGTTAGGGATGCAGCCTAGACACTGGGACTTTAAAATCTCTCTCCTCTAATGATTCTAATAATAAGCAGCCCAGTTTGAGACCTCTGATGTAGGGAGGGCACAGAGCATAACTCTGATGTTTGTTAGCTGTGTGGCCTTGGAAAGTCATAGCACCTCTCTGAGCCTTTGTTCTTTTATCTATGAATTGATATCATAACCACCCTGCAGCACTGCTGCAAGATTAGAGATAATACGTGTTTTAAAATGTCAAATAGCAGTTTCAATATATAATTGCTACTTTAAAAGTTTTATTGAGATGCAGTTTTCATACAAAAAGTCACCTGTTTTAAATATACAATTTGATGAGTTTTGACAAGCATAGTCTTATAATTACCCCTCAATTGAGATATAGGCAGTCCTTGCTTGGCACAGTAGCACGGGATAGTAAAAGTGACCATGCAATCTGAGACCACGCAAAGCCAAGTTAATACATAATGAGGAAAATTTCAACTGGTCTGTGACTTACAAACATTTTTGTCAAAACATTCAAAACACTCATGTCAGTGAATTGAGAAATAAAAAGTAGTAAAGCAAATGTTTATTTAGTACACTGTAATTTAAAACATTAGAAACACTGAGAATTAAAGAATTTTATTTATTTGTGAAAAGCTTTTCAAGAGCAGCAGGAGCAGTGCTTGCCTCCTTCTTGTCCTGTAACCTATTTTTTTTTTTGAGACAGAGTCTCACTCTGTCACCCAGGCTGGTGTGCATTGGCACGATCTCAGACCACTACAACCTCCGCCTCCCAGGTTCAAGCAATTCTCCTGCCTCAGCCTCCTGATCCCAAGTAGCTGGCATTACAGGCACCTGCCACCACGCCCAGCTAATTTTTGTATTTTTTTAGTAGAGATGGGTTTCACCATGTTGGTCAGGCTGGTCTTGAACTCCTGACCTCAGGTGATCCATCGGCCTCAGCATCCCAAAGTGCTGGGATTACATGCACGAGTCACCACACCTGGACTGTCCTGTAACCTATTATACAAAGTGAGCATCTTTCCCATGCCTTGGTGAATTGCCAGACTCCTTTCTAGGTCTGGATCTGCTTCCAAACATTGTATCTTTTGTATTTTCAAGGTCATGAAATAGCTCTCTGAGAATGCCTTTTATGTGAAGTCTGTTTTTTACAAATATCAACTTTACTTCTTCCGGGACATCATCATCTTTTTCATCACAACTACTTTCCTCATTGATGTCAATAAGCTCACCTTTTCTAAATTCCTCTGGCTGCAGATCTAGAGTCTCTCAAACAGCCAGCTATTTCTTTTAGAACATCATTTACATTCAATTCTAATTTCATGTCCAGCATTATCACTTTTCATTTATTTGCTGTTATTTCATCTCTGTTGGCCAATTCCCTCTTTCGATTAGCTCATTTTTGTAAAATGTCATATGGATTTTATCACTGGGACACAAGCAGTCAACAGAGAGATATGCTTTGTTGTCTGCAAGTCACATGGATATCAAGTGTGCTGTGACCAACAGACTTTGGTCAGTCACAGACGGGATGTGGCCAGTCACTGATCATGTGTACATCTGTTATTTACACAACAATTTGCAGACTGAAGAGCTAGCAGCAGAATTTGTACTTTATGCAATTACAGTTAAGAGAACTGTGGCAACTGAAATTTGGAACTATGTTGTTGAGGAACTCATGTTTTTCAACCAAACTATGATAAACTGAAATTTGGGCATATGGAAAACATGCAAAGCAAAAACTGCCTGTATTGAACTTTTCCAATGCCCCGAATAGCTCCCTGCTGCCTGTTTACAGTTGGTCCCTTGCCTCACCCCCAGGCCCTGGCAAACACTGATCTGCATTCCATTACTATAGTTTTGCCTTTTCTAGAATCCCTTACACGTAAAGTATGATGTCTTTTGAGTCTGGCTTCTTTCATTTAGCATGACACTCTTCAGATTCATTCATTTTGGACATACTTGACGGCTATTTTTCTTTCTTTTCTTTTACATCACTATACTTATCTCTCATCTTAAATACAAAATACAATAAAACAACAAACAAACTTCCTTTGATTATACACAGCCTCCCTCCAGCCCAGCCACTCCTGTCTCCCCTTCCTAGGCAAACTTTTTAAAATAGTCATCCCTTCACTCTCTCCTCCCCTCTTTCTTCAACCCACTGCATTTTGGTTTCAGTCCCCGCCACACCTCTAAAACTACCCTTAACAAGATCACAAACAACTCCCTTTTGGCTGTATTCAATGGGCACTTCACCTTTTCCTTTTCTTACCCCTTTGGCCACACTTGTCACCATTAAGCACTCCTCCTTTAAGTCTCCTGACTCTCTTCCTCCCTCTCTGGCATCTCCTTCTCAGCCCCCCTTGCAAGGTTCCTTTCCTTTCTCATGAGTGCTCCTTGAAGGGTAGTCTAGGACTTCTGCTGTGCTCACTCTGCAGCTCTTCCCCGGACAACCTCAACTATCCTCGTGGTTTTCTCCAGCTCTGATGTCTTTCCTGAATTCCAGGCAAGTGTATAATACTATCTAATAGAATCTGTATTTGAATATGTCAAAGATACCTCAGAATCATATAGTCAAATCAAACTCATCATTTCAATATCTGCCACCCAGACAAAATTACAGTCCCTCCACCTGTGTTTCCAAGTTTAGTGAATGGTCTCAGTATCATCTCGTTTGTCCAAACTAAAAACCTAGATTTCTCTCTTTCCCTTACTCCCAATCCCCCATAGTCAGTAAATCACCTAGACTAGTCAATGCTCCCTCCAAAATCTCAGGAATCGATATACTTCTCCCCATTTCCGTTCACACTACCCCCACTCTAGCCACCATTATATCTCCCATTGACTACTTTGCCATAATCTACTTTCAACACCGAGTGATTTGCTAAGGCACACATCTGATCTTTCACTTCCTGTTTAAAATTATTTAGTACGTCCTCTCCCAAGCTCCTCAGCAAGAAAGGCCTTCCATGCCTAGGCTCCTATCACATTCCCTGGCCCCAGCCCACCACCTCAAACTTTACAGAAAATCAATATCTTTGTAAGTCAGCCACTTGGGTGAGATCATCTGACCCTCTGTCCACTGGGTCCTAAACAGCAGAAACTAGGAATATAATGAAGAGGGAGGTTCTTGGCCATGTCCCACAGGCTAGATCTTGGCAGGTGGCTGACCTCCTGTTTGCTTTCTGCTTCAGAGGAAAGGATAAGTCTCAGCCCAGAAGGCAGAAGAGCTGTGTTCAGATGGTGACATAACTTTCAAGGAAAGAAAAAGGCAAGACAATGGGAAGAGAAAGGGAACTCAGAGGCCCCATGCTGGAGGTACAGGCCTCAAGTGAATCAACAGGGCCTTCCTCACTCTCTTCTTTGTACCACCTGACAGCCCCATAACCTGAAGGACCTGATCAAAGGGCTCCTGATGAGGACAAGAATATTACTGATCTGATATTTTCTCATAATAATGCCCAGAATCTTTTTAATCAGCCAGCTTTGGTTTAGAGTAGCTATCAGAGAGCCCATGAGACAAACACCACTCCCTTCCCAGCTATCTGAATCAAAACAAGGACTTGAGATCTGAACCTGAGCTGGGACCATGGGGTTCAGTTTATCATTGAGTGTTTACTTTCCTGGATTCCTTTCTCCTTCACACTTCATACCCCAATTCCTCTTCTCTGAGCAGAATTATCTCCACTTTGTGGTGGAGGCTCAATTACTGGCAGAATCCCTGCAGAGACAGCAAGATGGTCTTTCCGGTGTTGAGTTAACCAGGAATAAACACACATTCTTGTCTTCTGCAAATCAGAGGCACCAAAACAATTGTTTTTTAAAGAATTTGGTTGCTATTTCCAAGAAAACATTTCAAAAAATTTAATTGTAGGAAAAAATGAGAATTGAATTGTACTTCCTAACACTTGCCTTATAGCTTCATACTGCTTTAATTTTAAATTACATATGAAGGGACACAAGAGGTATTATAGAGCCTATTCTGCTCTGTGGTACCTATTCCAAGACCAAACTACCTAGGACTTGAAGGAAGTCAGAGCAACAAATGGTGCTCCTGAGCAAAGGTGATTTCCTTCTGAATGAACTCAGAAGGGACTAGACAGGGCTAGGGTCATCAAGAGGACCTTAGGCATCACCTAACCCATCTCACATTTCGCATTAAGTTTCCTTACTTATGATTGGTAAGGTCAGGTGACTTGCTCATGATAATACAGTTAGGCTAATGTCAAAGCCAAGAATTAAAACCTGGTCAGACTCTGGAATAACATCGTTCCAATAATAGCACATGTGGCTCAGCAACAGTCCAGACTCTCCTTCCTCACCTCTACACACAGATAGCAGACTCATCTCATGCTGGAATTTGCAAACTGCTTTTGAATAACCAGTATGCATGATCCTATCATCCTCAGCTTACAGAGCATGGTAGTGTGGTTTCCTTCTCGTTACAGGGTGTCAGGGTGGAGGGGGGTGGCAGAGGACTTCACCACAGACCACACAGTGAGGCAGGGACTGAGACAACTCCCCAGCTCCCAGCTCCCTGATTTTTCTTTCTGTTTCTGAGTCAACTGAGCTGGTCAGCCTCCCATGCTGTAAACACCACACAGAGCAGGAAAACAATGAAGCTGCTTATTTAGAAAAGACCTACTTCCCTGCTGAGTGTCACTACATGTCTCTTTTTATGCACTTGAACAGTCTGTTCCTGCGGTTGACTGCTAGGAAGACAGACAAGAGGATGACTGTGAAATGGCCTACTTACAGGGTCTTGGTCCACATATTTATTGACAAAATAAGCCCACCAAAGTCTCAGGTGAGAGCATAAGTGAGCAACAGAGCTGAAATTGACGCCTTGCGCAAAGGTCCAAATCATTAGGACCATTTAGCCAAGTGTGCCTTTATTAGATCATGCCGTGTGACACATTCAGGAAATAAGCATTATCTCTGCCCCAGAAAAAAATACCTGCCATCTTCCTGGACAAAATGAAACCTCAAAGTTACAAGGTAGACACGAAGGAGGGAAAAATTCACCTCCCCTTACTCTTCTCCTTAGGTAGTGCTATTTATTTATTTACTTATTTTCTGTGATGGGGTCTCACTCTGTCACCCAGGCTGGAGTGCAGGGGCGCAATCTCGGCTTACTGCAACCTCCACCTCCCGGGTTCAAGTGATTCTCCTGTCTCAGCCTCCTGAGTAGCTGGGATTACAGGTATGTGCCACTACGCCCTGCTAATTTTTGTATTTTTAGTAGAGATGGGGTTTTGCCATATTGGCCAGGCTTGTCTCGAACTCCTGACCTCAAGTGATCCACCCGCCTCAGCCTCCCAAAGTGTTAGGATTATAGGCATGAGCCACTGCGCTGGGCCAGGCAGTGCTTTTTAAACTGTAGTGAGCATGTCTTCAAAATGCAGAGATTTAGGCCTCACTCCCAGAAGGAGGCAGGTCTAGGGGAGGGCAGGAGGCCTGGGCATGTGCATTTCTAACAAGCACTCTAGGACCATACTGCTCCGTCTCTACTGCTGCCACCAGTTGGCACCTAAAGGGTGCTGCTTATATTGAGGTGTCTCCCCTTCCAGATAAGGCTGGAACATTTAAGCAAGACTGTGCTAAAGGCCTTGTAATGAAAATTAAAAGTAAATAAGCACAGAATAGCTTACAACTAAATAATCTGGTTTACAAGAGGTAGTTTTCCCACCTTTAGTGTGGAGTGCACTGCAGGGAGTCTTCCCAGATGGACTCCAGGCTGTCCATGCAAGATGACATTTTTTACCACCCAGGTGGACATGCCCTCATGTATATGGAGACACCTTGAAATCCGGACCCAGCAGAGAAAAGCTTAGGAGGAGGTTAGAATTCCCTCCCTGGGCTGCCAAGCAGACCACCTTCTGATTTTCACTGTCCTGTCTGTGAAACTACTCATCTCTTTCCTCAGCAACTGATTCTAGAAAAATCTAAATTGGTCAGGGAAAAAGATACAATGCCCTAAATGCTCATGGTTTTACCTCATCCAGTACCATATCTGGATAAACCTCAATTCCAGAAACTAAAAATAGGAGGGAATTTGGGAGGGCTGGTGGTAGCCGGCGTCAGTTCCTCTCAACTCATTCCCAACTAGTCTTGGTGATTTGAGAGGCAGCAGCTTGTGAACTAGGCCAGGTTCGATACTTCAACTTAGGATGTGTTATTCAACCAGTAATTTTTGGAGCACCCGCTATGCCCTAGATCCCATGCTAGGCATTGTAAGTACCATAAAACAATGAACAACACAGACTGCCACCTCTGTCTTCCTGCCTCCCCCAAATCTGCCTCCCTCTGAAAGTGAGGCCTAAATCTCTGCATTTTGAGGACGTGCTCACTACAGTTTGAGAAACAGACTCTGCAGAGAAGACAACTAAAGCAAATCTATATTTCATTGGATGGTTAACAGGCCACATCTGGGCCCACAGAGCATGTTAAACATCGAGGCATTTCCAATAAAAATATAGATTTCTAATGTCTCTTTAAAAATAAGAAAAGATGGCAAAAGTAGGCTTGTAGTCCCAAATGGCAACACTTGCCTGGAGCTGAGACAATGACTGTCTATTTAGAAAAGGATGCACTCTACCATTTGCTACTCTCCTCTACTCTGAATTGTCTCATATAGAGTCAGTTTCACCTGTCTGATTTATCAGTCTTGCACCTGAACGTATTTGAGTTGAAGACTCTTGTGTAGAACTATATAGAAGAGGACCTAGTCTGGAGACATTAGGGATGAATGGGGATTTCCAGGCGATGAGGGGCAGGAAAGGGAGGGTGGGAATGTGAGGCAGCCGAAGCAGCAGATGGAAAGGCTCAGAGATGAGCCTCAGCACAAGGGGACAGGTGTGTTTAAGGAAGGTAAAATGTTGCTCACAGCCAGAGCTCTAAGCGGGAGGTAAGAGATGGAGCTGGAAAGGTTAGGCAAGGAATAAATCATATTTAAAATGTTGGACTTTGGCTGGATGTGGTGCCTCATGCTGTAATCCCAGCACTTTGAGAGGTCAAGGCGGACAAAGCACCTGAGATCAGGAGTTTGAGACCAACCTGGCAAACATGGCGAAACCCCATCTCTACTAAAAATCCAAAAAATTAGCCGGGCATGTTGGGGTGCACCGGTAGTCCCAGCTACTCAAGAGGCTGAGACAGGAGAATCGCTTGAACCCGGGATGCGGAGGTTGCAGTGAGCAGAGATCATACCACTGCACTCCAGTCTGGGCGACAGAGCGAAACTCCATCTCAAAAAAAGAAAAAGAAAAGCTGGACTTTATCCCAAGTTACTCAGAGCAAGACACTGAAGGGTTTCAGCTGGGATAATGACTCTCATCTGATTGGTATTGGAAGGCTACTCAGGCTGCTGTATGGAGAGTGGATTGGAGGAGGCAAGATTGACTTGAGAGCAGATATTTTAGGACATTCATGAGCAGCCTCCCTGTACAGAGGCCATTCAGGAATGCTGAAGGACTGTGCTGCATCTTTTCTTCCTGTGAGTCCCTACACCAAGTGTATAGCAGAATCCTGGACACAGAGCAGGTGCTCGAGGAAGGGTTCTGACTCAGACCTCAGGCAGAAACAATGGCAGAAACGTCTCAGTCCAGTGGTCATCTGTCTTTGCACAAAGAGGATGCTCAGGACTTGCATAGAAATGTTAAATTTTCTTCTTGATGCTATCGGAGGGGTAAATTTTAAAAAATAATTTAAAAAATGTAGCCATTCTAAAGCTAATGACCTTCTTTGCCAGCTGTTCAACTCATCTTTGATTTGAGGGAAAGCCATGTCTGTCTTAAGCATGACATTCCCGAGAGAGAGCTTCCAAGTCATCCTCAGATGTCCATCAAGTTTAAGGAAAAGGCATAAAAATACTGCAGGCTAATAAGAAGTGAAAGAGGCATACACAATGTGCAAATAAAGCAGAAAATGATACAGACATCTAGAATAAGGTAAGATTTTCTATATCTGGTAGTGGAGAGGGGAATATTTCCAAAGAAACTTTTTGTTTTTCAGCCTGCTACAACAGATTGGTCTGGAGGTGTAGATCCATTAAAGTAAAATTGATTTAGAGAGAGAAAATACTGTTCATTTCAAAACTATAGTTCTCCCAACCCCACCTCCACCAAAGTCTCAAATCTCAGCGTGGGAGAAACCCATTAGAATTCCACTTTGTAGTGCTAGAGTGGTCTGCTTAGATTTCATCTACTGGAATATTTACTTTGGATAAAATGCAAGTTCTTTGTAGCAGTCTGGGGGAATTACAATAGATGAAACAAGAAAAGAATTTTGAAGATGAGCCCAAACCCCAAGTGGGATGTTTCAGTGTTCAATTAATTGACTCTCCCACATCCACACTCCCCTTTGCTTAATCTTGGGTCATTGGTTTTTTATTCTAGGGTCTCAAAGCTCTTTTCAAGCAGATGTTTTTCTGCTCAAATTAT
Source organism: Homo sapiens (assembly GCF_000001405.40). NCBI lineage: Eukaryota > Metazoa > Chordata > Mammalia > Primates > Hominidae > Homo > Homo sapiens. The sequence goes on from NC_000003.12 coordinate 170,772,560, forward strand.
TGCAGAGATAAAATGAGTTGCAGCTAGTCAAATTAAAACATCCACTTGCCTGTTGGGAGTGAGTGGCAAGGGTTGCAGCCCATAGAATAGAGCTCCCAGATGGCTTTGACCTGTATGCAACTGGCTAGTATCCTTCAAGAATTCCTACCCATCTAAAGGCTTACAGTGTCTGAAAGGCCATTGCCCTTGGTCATTCACACCCAGGTATTAGGAGTTCTTCCTCATTTACCACAAGAGGAAAGAAATTAGTCTGCCAGGAAGCATCTGGTGGTCTACAAACCAAGGAGTGCCCAGGTTGGTTCTGATGTTTATTCTTTTAGCTGAAGAACACTGATCATAGGCCTAATACCCCAGCACCCATCTTGTGTGCTTGAAACCAATAGAGTGAATCCTGAAAACATCAGTAAAGCTCCCAGAGGAAGCCCTACCCTAATTTTCATTCAATAAATACTTAAGGACCTTTCGCTATGTTGCAGAGGATGGCTGTTCTGGGGACCAGCAAGTCCCTGTTCACACAGAGCTTGCCTTTTAGCATGGAGAAAATAGACAATAAACAAGTAAAAACATAATAAGTAGTACTACTTATTATGCAGTGATAAGTGCTAGACAAGAAGAATAAAGGGCAAGAATAAAGACAAGGGGTCAGAGGTAGTCAGGAAAGGCCTCCCTGCCAAGCTGACCTTGAACAGAGGAAAAGGGGAGCAAGGGAGCAAGCCAGAGTCTGCTGGAAGAGCATTCTGGGGATAAGGAATGGCAAGGATGAAAGTCCTGAGAGAACAGAGAATATGACTCCTGTCATCCTATTATACAGTCTGTGGGACATAGACTCCTTCCACTGGCAAATTAGAAAATGGTTTACCTTTTGTCTTTCTTTTCTCTTCCTTCATTTTCCTTATTTATTTTCACATATTCTCTCCCCCGTTTCTTCCTTCCTTTCTCCCTGGTCCAAATCTTTGTTTACTGAATCAGCCTCTCCAACTACTTTGCTCTGGGATACGAGCATTAAAGACGATAAACCTCAAATGCTTTTGTGGCAGGACAAGTTTCCCTTTTCTGGTGACTACTGAGGATAAGAATTGGGAGGAAGGCTTTAAGGTTGAGAGAGAAACAGACATTCATTGACCACAATAAGATTTGTAGCTGTTCTAGTAGGAAATGTGTTTGTAGGGATTCTCTCCTAGGTCAGGATCTGAAGAAGCATGTCCCCACTTCCTAGTCCCTGTGGAGCAGAAGATGGCTGATGTGCTATACTAAGTGGAAAGCTGGTCATGAAATGACCTAAAAGGGCTTGGGGACTGTGTGTATGTGTGTGTGCGTGTGCATGTGTGTGTGTGTGCGTGTGTGTGTGTGTGTATGTAGTGGGGGAAAGAGGTTGGAGCAAGGAAGATAGTGCAGGTGAAACGAGCTCTGCTGACTGAGGGCTTAGCCACAGGGGGCCCCTAAGAGTCTAGGGTTAAGTTCCTGTGTCTGTGGATGGATCTGAGAACAAGATAGATGGAATAAAAAAGCCATCTCTGAACCTCCACAACCCTCCCCTACTTTACACCATGCCCCATACCAATTCCTTGTTGACTTAGTATTATATAAGTAAGAATATATCCCTTGAGCCCAAAGAATTGAATTCAGAATTTTAGAATTCTGAGTATTCGCTTGACTCACCCCACTATAATCTTTCTTGTGACTTATAGTACCACCCTTTCATTCATTGTTAAGGAAGATAATGTATGGGTTGCACCCTTTAAAAATGCTTTAGTTTACATAAGCAAGTCAACCCAGAAACTGGTACCCTTGTTTTCCCAGAATAAAGAATGATGAGAGCTTTTTGTTATTTTTCTACTCTCAGCTTTTTTCTATCTTTCTTCACCTGCAAAGTTTTTCATTTAAATCCACTTATAACTCCCTTAGCATTTGTTAGTTAAATATGCAACATCATTGTCCCTCCTTAATGCCAGCCTAAAACATAATTCTATTCATTTGAAAGAATGGCATGATGCTGAGTTTAAGGGCATCAACTGAGTTTTATTCTACATCTTTACAACCTAATTGCCTAGTCCTATTTCACCTCTCAGCCTCTTAGCCATCAGCTCACACACACACACAAATCACTGTAGAATTTTTTGGTATTCATTCAAGGCATTGAGCGATACCATGGATTATTATTAGGGACACCTGTGGTGGTACATTCATCTAGGGTCTTTCCTGCAGTGTATAAACTGATTAACACAGAGAATTATCAGGTCAAGCCTTGGGAAATCCTTTGTTAACCCTGGATACAGGGCATCCCTGTATTGCCAGATGAGATATAATTATTACATGTTGAATGTCAGGATGTTCCACCTAACTCTGGCATATTTGGATTGCTCAAAATTTCCCTTATTTGCTCTATTTCAGTACAAGACCTATCCCTTAGCTGAAATAATCCTTATCTACATGAGCATTGATTATTACCTTTCAGTCTTATCTTTTTTTTTTTTTTTTTTAAGACAAAGTCTCGCCCTGTCACCCAGGCTGGAGTGCACTGGCATGATCTCAACTCACTGCAACCTCCACCTCCCGGGTTCAAGCAATTCTCCGGGTTCAGCCTCCTGAGTAGCTGGGACTACAAGCATGAGCCACCACGCCTGGCTAATTTTTGTATATTTACTAGGGACAGGGTTTCACCATGTTGGCCAGGCTGGTCTTGAACTCCTGACCTCAGGTGATCTGCCTGCCTCAGCTTCCCAAAATGCTGGGATTACAGGCGTGAGCCACTGCGCCATGCCCAGTCTTATCTCTACTAAGTTAAATTACCACTGTTCTGGCCATCTTATTTTCTAACTATTTATGCACCTTGAATACCTCCTTCCTGGGCCCTCCACATTGAATTCAGTTTGCTGTGATGCATAGCCTACCTTATTATTATGTGCCCTAGATAACAGGATGCAGGTCAATTGATCACATAGTCAACTGATCACAGGATGCAGGCCAATTGATCACATAGTCAATAGTACCATGTGCCAAGAACCTCAGAGGCAAGTAGACATGTAGTTGGTCAATTTATTGTGCCTAACCCAAACCTCTGATTGCCAAAGTGGTTCGAAAGAATGCTTTTGTATTGGTGTGAGAGGATGTGACTGCTCCCATAGTGGGAACAGCCTCTTCCCTGGGATACATGTAAGAACTGCAGGATGGCTTTCTCTTTCAAATTGCACATCCGTTTACTACTACACATCTGCCATGGCAGACCCCACTACATCCATACCCATTGGGAATTGCTTTGTATAATGACTGATGTTATAGACAGGAATTTGTTACATATATAAAGCATCTAGGGTTCGACAAGAGGTTGGAAGTCTTGGGCTTAAGATATGGGCCCAGAATACAGATTAAGGAAACAGGTTGGTTTCACTCTCACTCCCAAGGAGTTCCAGTGGATTCCACTGAACTACTCTTTCTTGAGGCTCCACCAAATGAATTAAAGCCCATCAGGTTCAAACTAGCTAGTTGCCCAGAGGAATCCCCAGATATAAAGTTCATATGAAGATATGAAGTTCAGCTGTGTTCAGAAAAGATCTTTCAAGAACACTCTAGCCCCAGGGTTCATTGCAAATCCAATCTAACCCTCTTAGGTACAACAATAAGATCAGAGATAAGGTGTGCAACTGTTCTGGTCTGCCCAGGACTGAGGGGGTTCCTGGGATGTACGACTTTCAGTACTAAACTTGGGAAATTTCTGGACAAATCAGGATGAATTAATCTCCCTATCCAAGACTGTAATTATGTAAACGGTAAGCTTTGGTGCTGCCCTTCCATTCTCAGTGCTATAACAGCAACAGAGAGACGCATACTTGCCTATAGATATGGAGAGCCATGGTACTCATGTGTAAACCATATATATTCTGATGCATATTTCATTAAAAAAAAACTTAAGATATCTTCTGCAAATACTTGGAACTCAATCAGTGACATTCCAAAATTAGCTTTAAGTGATAAAATTTTATGTAATTATGACAACCATCTCTAAAATAAGTGATTAAGTGCTTCAATTACAAAAAGGAATGGTCTGAAAACAAATCTCTCAGGAATTATAAATATCCTCTATGATATTGGCCAAATTACAAGCTCATGATTCTTGTTTTTAGATTTTTTGCCAACAAAGGTTGCTTAGCAACAGTCAGCCATCTCTTTTCTCTCATCAGTTTTCTCTTTTTTCCTCTCCCACCTTTGCTATTGCATACTAAAGAGAAGGAAAGCCACTGCTCTGTGATGACCTCCTCTTCTCAGTTTATAAACATAAAAATGAGAGTTTCTAAGTGTAACAATTCCTAATGTTTGTACCAAGGTTTGTACAGTCTGAAGGATGTGTTCCTGAAAGAAGCGGCATCTGACAGTGCCTTAACTCATTAAAACCCATATAAGAGTAAGAGGGGTTAATGAGCCAACCACCATGGAAGGGCCATTGCTTAGTCTGGTAGCTTTGTGCACCAGAATCTTGATCTAGTTAACAGCTGGTGAAGAGGGATGGAAACTAACACTGTTGAGGACCGACTTTGTTCCATCCTTGAATTAGGTGCTAATTTAATTGGGCTCCTTGTATTGTACCTGGCTTAGCTCAAGGAGGTGTTGGGGTTTTTTGCGGGGAGGGGCCAGTAAGAAAGGAGTTAGGAAGGAGACAGAGATCATGATTCCAGGAACAGGGGCCACAGCAGGACCTGGCCTCATGGGGCCTGGAACCATATCCTGGTCATTTCCGGGGGCCTTGGCTGTGATACTGAACCTATTTATCCTCTAGTGCTCTGCCTTCACTTAACTCCACTGCTCTCTGTCGGCCCTTCTCCATGTGTAGCTTATTGAGTCTCCTTTTGCTACTTCTCCCTGCCCTGTATCTTTACCCTAATCACACATCTCAGCTTATTCAAGACTCAGAGCTACTGCCCCCACATAACTGGCTTGCTCAGGAACCCTTGTTTACCTCAGGGACTCTTCTCTGTGTTTCTCTCAGTGTTACCTCTTCCTGCAAACTTTCTGGATGATGCTAGACTTTTCAAGTTAAATGCCCAAGAGTTACTTGTTCATTCTAGATAATGTCATAGGCCAACTATAAATTAGTAATATATAGATCAGCTGCCCAACCCTGGCCTAATCAACTGGTACCATGTAAGGGAGATATTGTGGGCTAAAATGTGTCCTCCCCCCAGCCAAAAAAATCATACATTGAAATCCTAATCCCCAATACCACAGAATGTGGCCTTATTTGGAAATAGGGGCATTGCAGGTATAAATAATTAAGATGAGCCCATACTAGAGTAGTGTGGGCACCAAGTCCAATATGATTGGTGTTCTTATAAGAAGAAGAAACTAGGACACTGGCAGGCACAAAAAGAGAAAGCTATGTAAAGACACACAGCGAGGACAGCCCTCTACAAGCCAAGGAGACAGGCCTGGAACAGCTCCTTTCCTCACAGCCCTCAAAAGGAAGCAACCCTGTAAATGCCTTGATTTCCGACTTCTATCCTCCAGAACAGTAAACAATGAATTTCCGTTGTCTAAGCCACCCAGTTTGTATTACTTTATTATGGAAACCCTAGAAAACTAGTACAGATTTTGGTGTCAGGAATTGGGGAGCTGCTGTAATAAATGTCTAAAATGCTAGAAATGGCTTTGAAATTGGGTAGTGGATAGAGGTTGGAAGAGTTGTGTGGTGCGTGAAAGAAAAGGCATGGATTTCCTTGAAAAGACTTTTTTAGAAATATAGACATTAAAGGAGATTCTGGTGAGGGCTCAGAAAGGAAAGAGGAGAGCTTTGGAGAAAGCTACTATTGTCTTAGAAAATACATTTTTCACATGAACAGAATGTTGCTGGAAATATGAACATTAAAGGTGCTTGGTGAAGTCTCAGACAGAAATGACGAAATGTTGAAAACTGGAGGACTGGTGATCCTTGTTATAAAGTGGCTGATAACTTGGTTGAATTGTGCTGTGTTAGAAAGTAGAACTTGTAAGCAATGAACTTGGATATTTAGCTGAGGAAATTTCTAACAAAAGTTTCGAAGGTACTACCTGGTTTCTCCTTATTGCTTTTAACACAACATGAGAAGAAAGAAATAAATTGAAGAATAAACTGCTAAGTAAAAAGAAACCAGCACTTGATGCTTTGGCTGAGTCTCAGCCTCACCAGATAGTGTTCTCTGGAAAGAGGGCAAAGGGTGTGTCTAGAGAAGCCTTTGCTAAAGAGATTAGGCTTTTAACTCATGGATCCCATTAGCCATCTCAGCAGAAGCCACGAATAGAGATATAGTTATCTAAAAGTCTGGAAGACCTCTTGTCTGATAGCTTGGATTTCCATGAATTGCACAGAAGGCCAGTGAGGTTTCTGAGAATTTTATACCAGTACAAATACTGCCAGCCTGGACTGAAAAGGACAGTGATGAAATGAAATGAAGGAAGAACAACTTCCATGGATGCAGAGGGCTGATGGGGCGGCCCCTGCCCCCATAGGCTCAGAGGACACAGGCCCAGGGACTGGGGTCATTTCCTCTCTGGTACCAGAGAGTGGGTCACCACCCAGGGCCAAAACTAATAGGGGAGGTCACGTTGTTTTATATGTGGCACACTAGTCCCTGTGAACAGAAAATATGGGCAGGAAGTTTCCCTTAGGGTGGTAGGTTACAGAAACTTTACATATATTACATAATTTAATCTTGGGCAAAGTAGCCTTGGGCATCAGTCTTATTCTTCTTATTTTACCAACTTGGAGACTACACAATTTGCTTGAGGTCTCATGTCTGGCAGGTGAAAGAGTCAAATTTTATACCAAGATCTGATGTCAAGGTCTTTTCAGTTCACCAGAGAGGGTAATGAAGCAGAGACTTTGTAATGGCAACAAAGAGGGTAAAATTGACTAAACTCACTCAATAGAATGAAAACTAAATATACTTGACTATTACATTACTTAACCATGTGTGGATGTGTATAGAAGTTTGATACATAAAGGTAAAAGATCAAGTATGCAATAATAGCCCTTCCAGAATGGGTGTGTTTATATCCATGTATCTATATATCTATGTCTGTGTCCATATCCATACCCATGCCCATACACATACCTATTAGGTGTATGTACATTAAAAAATAATAAACAGCATAGAGTCTGATAATAACTTTCAACCCTTCAATCCTTAACTAGGAATTGTTGAAACCCTTAGCTGAGGATGCCAAGGGAATGTCTCTTTTTCCTTTACTGTAAATTTATAGATTATTTCCCTTTCAGAAGGTATTTACCACCTTCACCATCTGCATTTGAAATGGCTTCTTTCTTATAGCAGATATTTCAATACCATTTTAGAGAATTCACAAATCTCTTGGCGGCAATGATTTTTAAAGTTCATACTTTAAGTCTTCATTGCATGCTACAATTTAAGAAGATTTATTTTTTAATACACTCTGCAAAATGCCAGCCGAAGTTGCTTACTACTTGAAAGTGTCTTGTCTCTATTTAAATGGCAGAGCATTTCTCTGCACTGTCTTTTTGAGCTTTTAATTTTGATATGTTCTGGGTTGCTGTAGGTGGTGGTAGGGAGAGTTTTATAAACTTACGGCTTTTGAGCTAAGAGACAAATTCCAGGCTAATCTGCACCTTTAAAATGTCTCTCCAGCATAATAGTGCCTGGATTTTATGACATTTCCTGTTTCACCCCATTGAATATCCCTCCTGCATCCAGAAACACAGGATTTCACAGCTTATACATTTCACCATCATTATTATATAGTTTTCATTAAGATAAAAATAGCTAAAATAAAATTCCAAAAAAGTCAAGATCCAACCTCAAATACAGAAAGTTGGTCTCTGCCACTATTGCAGTCTTGCCTTTGTTGTCTTGCTTTGTTCTGTCTCATTAATAGATGTTAACTAGTTCTCTTTTGTTTTTGTCTATCTTCCAGTGCTAGGCTACAGGGAGACTTACAGATTTTAAAAAATCAACCTAAGTGTATAGTGAAGTGGCAGTTACAGTTTTTGGGTGACCAAAGGTTCACAGAGAAGTCCTTTGGAGGCCCTCTCATTTTACTGGTGGTGATCTGACAATTTCCTAGGCAAGTGACATAAGGGCCTACTGTGTTCACTTGTATATCCCCAGCGACCAGTGAAGCATTTGACACACAGTAGGTGCCAAATGAAGAGAAGAAAAATTGAAACAAGTGACAAATTTCAGAAAGCTGTCAAATATCACAAGCATAGGCTATAAACTCAAGAATTCTAATAAATTCAATTTCATGGAGTTTCTATCATAAGAAAAAAGCATATGGCACTTTTATAATTGTACATATTGTATTATCAAATATATTCCTGATAGAAGAGAGCTTCTGGTTTGACCACATGTTAATGAAAATAGATTCTTTTACTTATAACTTTATGCATCTGATACTTGGAAAAAGTAAATATGCTCTGATTTATTCAGAGGTGAGCATGTTACCCAAAGATTGAGGACAGGGTGGTGCTGGGGCAGGGGGCATCCAAGTCTTTTTTGGGGATTAGCATATGGAAGGTGGGAGAGTCCATTTTTCCTTCTGCTAAGGTTGCTAAGCTGGAATGATATGATGAGCCAGCAATGTGAGGGCAAACAAGTCCACACAGGGGTAAACAACTAAGAAGGGAAAGAGAAAGATTACAACACCATTTAAGCCCTTGAACTGAGCCATGGTTAAATGAAGCTGCCTCTCTGCCTTCTCCTGTTCTGTGAGTCAACAAACTTTCCCTTTTTTCTGTCATTTGAAGCCAATTTCAGTCATTTGAAGCCAAAAGTCCTAACAACTATACAAAATGATAGCTATTTGCATTGTCTTACTACTCTAAGTCTTAGATAACTTCACATTGCTGAGAAAAAAATAATTTAGGCTCATATGGATACGGATAGCTCATATGGATAGCTTCTTTATTGGATGTCTGGAACTTGAATATCCGCTATACCTCTGTTATCTCCTTTCTTTGCTTATTTTAATCAGAGGGCACTGTACTCACAGTAATAAGATAGTAATGGCTTACACTTGCACAGTAATTTAAAGTTTCAAAGTAATTTTACATGTATTGTCTTATCCTCACAGAATACAAGTGCTTTCATCAAAGTTTTTCAAATGAAGAAGCGAAGGTTCAGAGAGATTAAATGAATTCCCTAAGGCTATATAGCTTGCATGGGGCAGAGCTAGGATTAAAGTTTATGCCTGGTGCTTCCTAATCCAGTATCCTTTCTGTGACATACCATACCTCTCTGAACACACCTGCAGACCCAGGACCTTCCATGCCCACTAGAAGGTATTATTCAGGCCAGAAGACACACACTTTTGGGCCAGATACACTCCTGGCCAATGGCCACATCTTCTTTTGTCTTCTTTGCCTAACTTTCTGGGTTATCCATCTCTACAATTCTACTGCTATCTTCTCTTACTCCCTTGCCTAGACTCCAAACTCCCAAAACTTTTCTCATAGCCTAACTTCTAAGGACCACAACTCAATAGTGTTTGCCTCAACAGCTCGATGTCAAACCCCTATTAAATGTTTAACCACCAGGATTTTCAGACATGATTTCCACTCCCTTATTTCTGAACACTCCCTTGTCTACCATATAACATGAGTTCTTGAATCTGATATGACTTCAGTCCTTGTCATTATTGTGCTCATACTCTGCTTCTATTCTTTTCTTAGCTATTCTGCTCTGTATTGTTTATTTCTAGAGTAGAGAGAAAGAATGGCCAGACAGCCACAATTATGCCTGTTCACACTGTTGTGTGTCCTGAACAGACCAATAACGAGTTCCAAAATTGAATTTGTAATAAATAGGCTGCCAACCTAAAAAACCCCAGGACCAAACAGGTCCACAGCCAAACTCTACCAGATGTATAAAAAATGCTGGTACCATTCTTACTGAAACTGTTCCCAAAAATTGAGGAGGAAGGACTCCTCCTCAACTCATTCTATGAGTGCAGCATCATCCTGACACCAAAACGTGGCAGAGACACACACACAGAAAAACTTCAGGCCAATATCCTTGATGAACTTAGATGCAAAAATCCTCAACAAAATACTAGCAAACCAAATCCAGGGGGATATCAAAAAACTCATCCTCCATGGTCAAGTAGGCTTTATCCCTGGGATCAAGGTTGGTTTAACATACACAAGTCAATAAATGTGATTCATCACATAAACAGAACTGAAGACAAAAACCATACGATTATCTCAATAGGGGCTTTCAATAAAATTCAGCATACCTTTATGTTAAAAACCCTCAACAAACTAGGCAATGAAGGAACATACTTCGAAATAATAAGAGCCACATATGACAAACTCACAGCCGACATCATACTAAATGGGTAAAAGTTGGAAGCAACACCATTGAAAACTGGCACAGGACAAGGATGCCCTCTCTCACCACTGCTATTCAACATAGTATTTGAAGTCCTGGACAAAGAAATCAGGCAAGAGAAAGAAATAAAAGGCATCTAAATAGGAAGAGAGGAAGTCAAACTATCCCTGTTTTCAGACAACATGATTCTATATCTAGAAAATCCCACAGTCTCAGCCCAAAAGCTCCTTGATCTGATAAATAACTTCAGCAAAGTTTCAGGATGCAAAATCAATGTATAAAAATCAGTAGCATTTCTATATAGCAACAACATCCAAGCTGAGAACCAAATCAAGAATGCAATCCCATTTACAATAGCCACCAAAAGAATAAAATACCTAGGAATACAACTAACCAGGAAGGTGAAAGTTTACTATAATGAGAATTACAAAACACTGTTCAAGGAAATCAGAAGCAACACAAACAAATGGAAAAATATTCCATGCTCATGGATAGAAAGAATGAATATTTTGGACATACTGCCCAAAGCAATTTACAGATTCAGTGCTATTCCTATCAAATTCCTAATAACAGTCTTCAAAGAACTAGAAAAAAACTATTTTAAAATTCACATAGAACCAAAAAAGAGCCCAAATAGCCAAGACAATCCTAAATAAAAACAACGGAGCTGGAAGCATCACGTTACCCAACTTCAAACTATACTACAAGGCTACAGTAACCAAAACAACATGGTACTGGTACAAAAACAAACACATAGACCAATGAAACAGAATACAGAACCCAGAAATAATGACACACACTTACAAGCATGTACTCCTTGTTATGTGTATGTTTGGGATGGAATATCTATCTGAGCTTGGGGAACCTATTTTGAAGATTTTGAGATGAGGCTTTTTAGGGATGGAATATCAAGAAATGGCATAAAGTTTCAGAGATACTGTTCAATGGCAAAGAAAGACTCTAGAAAATTCCTAAATCGCAGTCTGAATACAGCAGCCTTTCTCTTTACAGCATTAGAGAATCAGGAGAAGCCCAGCATGGACTGGCAGAGGTGCCCAAAGTGGCTGCTTTGTGGGGGAACATATCACTGTCATCAGTCAAGGGATCCTCCCAATGCTATTTTCCAACTGACGGATCTCTGCAAGTATTAGCCAAATATAATGCTTTCATGAATAAAGGGTTTAGCATTGCTTTGAATCTAAAGAACAAGGTACTGTGGATTCAGCCAGGGGACATTCTGGAATAGATAGAGAGCTGAAAACAATAATCTAGCAGATATTTAGCTATTATCTCAGAAGGAACTTGGGAACTATGGCTCAGAGACCATGAGAGTAAACACTGTGAATGTTTTTTTAAAGCTTCATAGCCTCTTCATAGTTCATTTTTAACCCCCTTTTTTTCTTACAATCTCCTAAAGACAAGGATGTTATAATGAAACAAACTGTGCATTTGCAGGAGGGATAAAAAGCCAAGCATCCTGAGGGGTTTGGGAAACCCAAAGCCAGGAATATCACAGAGAAGAGTGGAGGATGGCAGCTTCGAAACTCCCAAAGAGAAGGGATATAGACATGACTCTAGGACTTGGTAATAGAAACACCTGAGGAGTTCTCCAGTGTAGGTGGCAATGTTTGTTGTCTCCTGATAACTCATACCCAATATCCTTTTCCCATACTGGGAGAATCATATTCTGTTCCATGACCTCCCAGGGATAGATATTGATTAAACTAAGCTAATCAGAGTGGTCCCATTTCCCTTGTCACTGATTAACTTACTGTTGTGTTTGTCCTGGCCAATGAGATGTTTGCGTGTGGAATGTTACTAAAGACCATCTGGGAAAGTTTTTCTTTTAGCTCTTAAAAACATGCATACAAAAAGAAATACACCTTCTTTTTTTATGGAGTGTTGCATCTTCATGTGGTCTGGTCCTGTGGTGAACATCTTAGAAACATGAAGAAAGTAAGTGTGAAGAATATGCCAGAATAGCAGAGCAGAAAAGTGTAAGGAAGCTAGGTCCCTGCTGACATTACTGATTTGACATATGTGCATGTGGAATCCCAAAACAAAAGAAAGGAACAAAAAAGTATTAGTAGAAACAATGGCATATTTTTTTTTCTAAATTTGGTAAAAGGCATAAATTTACAGATTCAAGAAGCTCAATGAATCCAAGCACGACTGTTGCAAAATATACTACATTTAAGCACATCAAAGTCAAAATGTAGGAAGTGAAGGTAAGGAGAATTATCTTGAAAGCAGCCAGAGAAAGCAACTTGTTATGTACGGAGAAACAAAGACATGAATTACCATTCACTTCTCACTGGAAACAGTGGAGGCCAGAAGACAGTAGAATGTCTTTAAAAGCATGACAGAATGGAACTGTAAACCTAGAATTTTATATTTAAAAAAATAGAAGCGGGCATGGTGGTTCACACCTGTAATCCCAGCACTTTAGAAGACCAAGGTGGGAGGGTTGCTTGAGCCCAAGAGCTCCAGACCAGCCTGGACAACATAGGAAGACCCTGTCTCTACAAAAAAATTTAAATAATTAGCCAGGAGTGCTGTAGCCCCAGCTATTCGGGAGGCTGAAGTGGGAAAATCATCTGAGCCTGAAAGGTTGAGGTCGCAGTGAGCCATGATCAAGATACCATTCCAGGCTGGGTGACAGAGTGAGACCTTGAGAAAAGAAATAAGGGGAAGAAAAGAAGAGAGAAAGAGAGAGAGAGAAAGAAAGAAAGAGAAAGAAAGAAAAGAAAGAAGAAAGAGAGAGACAACGGAAAGAAAAAGAAAGAGAGAAAGAAAGACAGAAAGAAAGACAGAAAGAAACAAAAAGGAAGAAAGGAAGGAAGAAAGAGAGAGAGAGGGAGGGAGGAAGGAAAAAGAAAGAAAGAAAGGAAGGAAGGCTCCTTCAGGAATGAGGAAGGTAGAATTGTTAAAAGATAAATGAGTACAAACAGAATTAGTTGCCAGCATACCTGTACCACAAAAAACTTCTAAAGGAAATTCTTTTTTTTCCCCACCCAGTAGTTTAAGGAGGAAATTCTTTAGACTAAAAGAAAATCATGCTGTATAGAACCTCAGATATTCAGGAAGGAGAACACTTTCAAACTGATTTTATGAGTTCAGCATAATGTTAATTAACACCTGAAAAAGAAATCACGCACACACACAAATACAAGCCAAAATCATTTGTTCATAGCATAAAAATCCTTAACAAAATTTAGCAAATGGAATCTAGTGATATATAAAAAGGATGACACATTATGACAAAGTTGGCTTTATAGGAAATCAAGTTTGGTTAAACACTCAAAAGTCCATCAACAAATTCAGTATATCAACAGGAGAAAGGAGAAGAACATTGTCATCTAAATAGACACAGAGAAAACATTTGACAGAATACACCACTCATTCATAATTGTTTTTAAACCTAGCAAATAAGGAGTAGACACCTTTCAATCTAATAAAGAACATCTAAGAAAAACCTACGACTAATATTATACTAATGTTGAGGTAGTGTATCTTTTCCCTTTAAAATCAGGAATAAGCATGTATATTCATCCACTTCTGTTGCATACTGTCCTGGCAATCCTGGGTAATGCAACAAAATAAGCAAAAGAATTAAAAGGCATAGAAATTATAACAGAATGAAGAGAGTTATCTTTATTCACAGATAATATGACTGCTTGTAGAAAATACTCAGATATACAGAAACATTAATAGAACTAACAAGTTAATTTAGCCATATCACAGGACACAAAATCAATATACAAAAATAAATCATATTTTTACAAAACGATGGCAAACAATTTGAAAATAAAATTTCAAACAATACTATTTACAATAATATAGAAACGTAAATGTAAGATTTGGAAATAAATGTAACAAAACATGGACATAATCTTTACACTAAAAACTCAAGCCATTGATGTGAGAAATTAAAGATTTAAATAAATGGGAAAATGCCAGGTTCATGGGTTATAAGACTCAATATTTTGAGATGTTAATCATTCCTAAATTGATTTATGGATTCATGCATCTTGAATCAGAATTCCACCAGATTTTAGGTAGAAATGAATAAACTGATATTTAAGTTTGTATGGAAGTGCAAAGAAGACCAAAACCAAATGGAATAAGAAGAATGAGGTTGGAGGACTCACACTACTTGACTTCAGGACTTGCTATATACCACAGTAATCAAAAGTTTGTTACTCATATACGTAAGGAAAGATAACTAGATCAATGGAACAGAGTAAAGAATTCAAAAATAAACCCACACATATATAGTCATTGGATTTTCAACAAAGCCGCCAAAGCAATCCAATGAGAAAAGGAAAATCTTTTCAACAAATGATTATTGAATAACTGAATATGCAATATGGAAAGAAAGAAAGTTCAACTTCTAGCTCACACTATTCACAGAAAAATAATTCAAGGTGGATCATTCCCCTAAACATCAAAGTTAAAACTATAAAACTTCTAAAAGGACACAGGAAGCAAAAATCATAAAACAAAAAGTTTAAACTTCTGCTTATCAAAATATATTAATAAAATGAATAGACAAATCACAGACTGAAAGAGAATATTAGCAAAACGTATTTAAAAAAAAGACTATTATCCGGAATATAAAAAGAAGTCATACAATTCAGGAATAAAATGACAACCCAGTAAAAAATTAGGGATTAGTACATAGGCATTTTGGGATGGAGTGGGGGGTTGGGGGAGGGGGAACATGATGGCATTTTGTACTAATCCCTAATTTTTTACTGGGTTGTTTGTCAAAGGGCAAAACATTTGAAAAAAAAAATTGCAGAAGAAAAATATGCAAATCAATAGGGCTGAAAGTCACCAGTCATCATGGAAATGCAGATTAAAGCCACAATAAAACATCACTAATATTCACTAGAATGTCTAAAACAGACATTTGCAAATGTTGACAAGGATGTGGCATAACATAACCAGAACTCTCACACATTGTAGACGAGAATATAAAATTTTACAGTCACTTTGGGGGAAGTTTGGGCAATTTTTTAAAAAGTTAAACATACATCTTCCCTATGATTAGCAATTAATTCCACTGTTGACTATTTACCTGTGGTAGGCAGCATAATGCCACCATGTGCCCCCTTCACCCCCACTCCATCCCAAGTTGCCTATGTACCAATCCCTAAGACCTCTGTTGCATGGCAAAGGAGAGTTAACGTTGCTAATCAGCTGACCTTAAATTAGGGAGATTATCCTGGATTATCCGGGTGGGCCCAGTGTAATCACAAGGTCCTTAAAAGTGGAAGAGGGAGGCAAAAGTATTAGGGTATGAGGGCAATGTAATTAGAGAAGAAACATCAAAGAGATGCAATGTTGCTGGCTTTGAAGATGGAGAAAGGAGGCCACTAGCCAAGGATGTGGGCAGCCTCTGGAAGCTGGGAAAGACAAGGAAATGGATTCTCCCCCGAGGGCCTCCAGAAAGGAGCACAGCCCTGCCAACACCTTGGTCTTAGCCCAGTGAGAGCCCTGTTGAATTTCTAACCTGCGGAATTGTAAGTTAATACGTTCGTATGATAAACTGCTAAGTTTGTGGTAATTTGTTGCATCAGCAATAGAAAGCGATGCTAATACAGTAACAAAGAGGAGGCCTGGCATGGTGGCTCACACGTGTAACCCCAGCACTTTGGGAGGCTGAGGCAGGCGGGTCGCTTGAGTCCAGGAGTTTGAGACCAGGCTGGCCAACATGGCAAAACCCCGTTTCTATAAAAAAATATAAAAATCAGCCAGGCATGGTGGCGCACGCCTGTAGTCCCAGCTATTCAGGAGGCTGAGGCAGGAGGAACGCTTGAGGCTGAGAGGCAGAGGTTGCAGTGTGCCTAGATCACATCAGTGTACTCTAGCCTGGGCAACACAGACCGTGTCTCAAAACAAAACAAAACCAACCAAACAAAAACAAACAATAAACAAACCAAAACCAAAGAGAAATGGAAACATACGTCCCCCAAAAAAATTGTTCAAAAGTGCTCTTAACAGTTTTATTCTTACAGCCCAAACCTGGAAATAGTCTGGATCCCCATTAATAGGATAATGGATAAACAAACTATAGTATGTTCATATAATGAAACATTGCTCCCCAATAAGAAGGAATAAACTACTATACATGCAACAACATGGATGAGCTCACAAACATTCTGAATAAAAACACTGAATACATATTGTATGATTCTTTTTATATGGAGTTCTAGAACAGGCAAAGCCACTCTAGGGTGAAAAAAATAAAGAGAGCGGTTGTCTCTTAACTGGAAAGTAACCTAGGGAACTTTCTGGGATGAAGGTAATAGTCTATATCTTAATAAAATTTCAGGTACATACGTGTATGTACTTGTGAAATCTCGTGGAATGAGTTTTGCACTTTGTTGTGGATTGAATTATGTTCTCCCAAAAGTTATTTAAAGTCCTAACTTCTGGTACCTGTAACTATGATCTTATTTAGAAATACAGTCTTTGCAGATGTAATCAAATTCAGATAAGGACATACTGGACTAGGGTGAGCCCTAGCTCCAATGACTGGTGACAGTACAAGGAGGCCATGTAAAGCCTCAGGGATACAGAGACAAATGGGAATACCATATGATGACAGAGACAGATATTGGAGTGATCCAGCTGCAAGCCAAGGAACACTGAGAATTATGGGCAACCACCAGAAGCCAGGAGAGAGAACAGGCATAGAACAGATTATCCCTCAGAGCCTCCAGGAGAAACCAGCCTTGCCAACACCTTGGTTTCAGACTTCTGGCCTGCACAACTAGGAGAGAACAAATTTCTTTTTTTGTTTGTTTTTGGTTTTGTTTTTTTGAGACAGAGTTTCGTTCTTGTCACCCAGGCTGGAGTGCAATGTCACAATCTTGGCTCACCGCAACCTCTACCTCCCAGGTTCAAGCAATTCTCCTGCCTCAGCCTCCCAAGTAGCTGGGATTACAGGTGCCCGCCATCACACCCAGCTAATTTTTGTATTTTTAGTAGAGACAGGGTTTCACCATGTTGGCCAGGCTGGTCTCGAACTCCTGACCTCAGGTGATCCACCTGCCTCGGCCTCCCAAAGTGCTAGTATTACAGGTGTGAGTCACCATGCCAGGCCAAAATTGTTGTTTTAAGCCACCCAGTTTGTGGAAATTAGTTATGGCAGCCCTAGGAAATTATAATACACACTTAAACTTGTGCATTTCACTACCTACACATTTTACCTAAAAAAAAAGAACCAGAAGAATTGAACTCTAGTTTATAATATGTATGTGAAGCATTTGGTAGTTAAGTGTCTGAAACTTAGTTTGAATTGCTGAAACTAAATGGTGGACATATGAGTGTTTAATGTAATTCTTTTAGGTTTTCTATATATTTGAATATTTTCATAATAAAATATTGGGGAAATAATTGTAAACCTTGACAACCTAAAGGGCGGTAAAATAAATTTAGAGAGTAAATAAGCATTTTTTTAATGGGATAGAATAGACTAAAACAGAACACATAAAATAAAAGTGTTTTTGAATGAAAGTTAAATTTTAATTATACATAATACACATGCATGTATGTATGTACTGGATCATGATGTAAAATTATTTTTTTACTGAGGATCAAGTCGAAACCACTTAAAAAGATCTACCTTAGTCTCACAGGTTTCCCAACATCTCACCTTTTCCCCTCCACCAACAGTTTTATACCCACACCTAATCTATGCATCATCTGCACAGATTCAGGGCTCTTGCTATGAAAATGCTTCCATATCCATCTCTCTTTGACCTATTATCATAGTTAATGAAGCACATTTTCCTAAAACAATGAGTTGCTTCCAGGGAAATTCACAGGGCTCTTTGTAAGCTCTATTTATGCCTTCAAAATCCCAGGGTAGCATTTAGTAATTTTCTGCATCAGGACACTAAATGGAAACTTAGAAGAATCAGTAAAACTATAAACAGATGTTCTTCCTTTGTCATTTTTTTTTAAGGCATAGCCAAAGTAAGCTAGCTCCTCAATAAAAAGTTTAGCTGTAAACACTACAGCTAGAGATTAATTCAGCCCATAAAGTATGTGAATCATAGTTACTGTCATCATTCATATTTAATAATAGCATAAGTGAGTCTTAAAGACGCTAATTAAATTAGAAATAACTATTTTGATCCACTATAATGTTATGTGTAAGTTCTCAATAATGTAATGAGTGTTCAACTGAGTTCAACCAAAACTTATTGAACTTCAACTACATGTCAGGCACAATACTATAAGTGCAGAAGATACAATAGTAGTGAAGACTGGGCCCAGTCCTTGAGGAATTCACAGTGTAGGAGAACAGACACATAAATAGTTCATTTTAAGAGTCAGGTATATATACGCAGGGTTCTAGAGGTGTACAGGTGTCAGGCCAAGCTGGAGCATACAACATCTGAATCAAGTCTTGAAGAATATACAGAACTTATTTAGGGGAAAAGGATCTGGATAGGCAGTATGTGTTTCTGATTGCCTTTTAAAGATGGTGGTTCTGTCTAATTGTGGAGATTTTGTTTTGCTGAATGGAGTTTGCAAGCTCAGGGCCAGAGCTGAATTGCTCCAGACAATAGAGTCTCAGCCATGTGCTGTCTATCTCTCAGGCTGTCCATCTCTACTTTCCTTTCTTCCATCAAACACTTGCCCCCTCTCTCAAATATTGGACAAATGTTTAAAGACTATCAGTTTGAAGACTTGACAAATCAATACTCGACCTAAGTTGTTCAGCTATTTTGTTATACTCTGAAATTAGCATGATACAGAATAAGCAAATAGAAACATTAGCAAGAAGGGGTGGTGGCACAGACCAGGCAGAATTAGAATGCAGCACCACTCTGTGGATCAGAGAACAGTAAGGAGGAAAATTCAAGTATTGGAGGGAGGGGGGCAACTACCTCAAAGAATTGCCAAGAACCCCAAGGCAGACCAGGAAACTCTTGGGTACTGAAAGACAAGAGGGGGATTTGTCTTCTAATAATGACACTGAGTGAGGGTTCAAGAGTCAAAAACTGTTCCTTAAAACCAATATGGGCTAGGGAAACAATGCTTGTATTTTTACCTCTAGGACCAAGAACTACTTAAAACCTTATAAAGACATATATTGAGAACTTTGGACAGTCTGTCTTGAGAAGGAGAGGTTAGGGTGGGTTAGGGATAAAGAATGTCACATAACTAAAAGTCCTCTAACTCCTATTAAATCTTAAAGACTTAGTGCAGCCACTTCTCCCTCCAGAAGGACAGATTGAAGAATGTGTGCAGGAGTATGCTCTTCCCAATGGTGAAAAATCAGAACCATTGTTGACAGATTTCTAATACATCCCTGGTGGAAGACAGATGGGAACAAAAGTGAAGTCCCAGTTGACCTTAGTAACAGGACAATACAGTAAAGGGGAGGCCCAAGGAGGGGAGGCCAAGCAAGGACAGCCCAATCACTGTCTCTATGGGGAGGATTCTCTGAAGCCCAGGAAAGACACACAGCATTGGCCGCAGACATAGTCTCAAATGGATGACAGTGGCCAGAAATAGTCTCACCAAATTTATAAAACATCATTTATAAAGTTCTGACCAGTGTTTATAAAACATGCTGGAGCAAAGGAGGTTGTTTCAGCAGTAGCAAGCTACAGAAGACCATCAACTGGGGACTGGTAGGAAAATGGATCCAAGCCTAAAGAAAAGGCAAACAGGCGACTCCAAGTCTTTTCAATGTCATATTGGAGTATTGTCTAACAGCCCCATTGAGGCTTATTCAATACTCTAAGGCAGAGGTCAGGAAACTCTGGCTCATAGGCTGGCCACATGTTTTTGTAAATAAAGCTTTGTTGGAACACAGCCACATTCATTTCTTTGTATATTATCTATAGCTGCTTTGGGGCTATTACAAGAGAGTTGAGTAGATGCAACACAGACTGAATGGCCTGCAGGCCTAAAATATTTACTGTCTAGCTCCTTAGGAAAAACTTCCCAACCTCTGCTCTAGGGGAATGCACTTTTGCTTGACTTAGTTTTTGCTATTGATTAGAGAGCAGATTCTGTGAAGCTATGTGTTAATATGCAGAAGATTAATATGTTGCAGATGATTTCTGTCTAGTAAAAAAGATAACCCTAGAATTTGTTTTATTTCTTTGTAGAATATTAACCAGTTTTATAATCAATCTAGCAATTTTATCCTAATATTATTTCTTCAATACCTATATATACTTAATCTCTGGAGTATTTTGACATAAACTTTTCATTTTAGAACAGTTGTGGAGTTACAGAATTATTGCAAGGATAGTAGAGATTCTCCACATACATCAAATCCAATTTCTCCTATTATAGACAACTTCCATTAGTATGGGACATGTATCATAATTAATGCCCCAGTATTGATATATTACTAACACCCATGCTTTATTCAGATTTTCCCAGTTTTTCTCTAATATCCTCTTTCCTCTTCCAGGATTCTATCCAGGATACATTGCATTTAGTAGTCATGTCTCCATAGACACCTCAATTACGACGGTTTCTCAAACACTTCTTGTTTTTTATGACCTTTATAACTCTGAGGAATACTGGTCAGGCTTTTTGTAGATGTCCCTCAATTAGAATTTGCCTAATGTTTTTCTTATGATTAGGCTGGGATTATGAGTTTGGGGGAAGACCATGGAGATGAAGTGCCATTTTCACTATATCATATCCAGAGTACATAATATCAATAACACTTATTACTGTTGATGTTAACTTTGATCACTTGGCTTGCAGCAGTATTAGTCTGGTTTCACCACTGTAAAGTTACTCGCCACTCTGCTGCAGCTCCTGTCCATACTGTACTCTTTGGAACGTCATGTGTATACATTACCTGCACTTAAGGAGTAAGGAGTTTTGCTCTATCTCCTTAGGTACTAAAAATGTACATGAATTATTTGGAATTCTTCTGAAGATGTGATTTATCTACTTTCCCCTAATTAATTATTTGTTCAATCATTTATTTTATTTTTTATTTTTTGGAGACGGAGTCTTGCTCTGTCACCCAGGCTGGAGTGCAGTGGCACAACCTCGGCTCACTGCAACCTCCACCTCCTGGGTTCAAGTGATTCTCCTGCCTCAGCCTCATAAGTAGCTGGGACTACAGGTGTGCGCCACCACGCCCAGCTAATTTTTGTATTTTTAGTAAAGATGGGGTTTCATGATATTGGCCAGGCTGGTCTCGAACTCCTGACCCCAAGTGATCTGCTCACCTCGGCCCCCTAAATTGCTGGGATTACAGGTGTGAGCCACTGCTCCCAGACTATTTGTTCAATCATTGATTTATGTCCATATGCATTCATGGATATTTATTTATACTTTGGGTTATAATTCAATACTACTTTATTTATGTTGCTCAGATTTTTCCAACTTTGGCCACTGGGAGCTCTTTTAGTTGACTTCTGTGTCCCTTTAACATATTGTCATCATTGTGGGTTTTTATATTTGAGCATTTTTTGACGTTCTGACATTACAAGATGCTCCAGGCACATATTGTGTATTTCTGGCTCTATTCCTAGAAGCAGCCATTTCTCCAAGGAGAACTAGTTCCTTTTATGGGAGAATGCTATTGGAAACCAATATCTGGGTGCAAGGTATGTTCATTGCTATTGGGGTGTCATTGCTTTTAGGTCTTCTCAGCTGCCAGAGCAAAGACATATATGTGTGTACATATTTCCTTGTGTATATACTTCCTTGTGTATATATACACATCTACACATATTCCTATATGTAACCATGGGTATCTATGTTAAGCCAAACATAAGTTCATACTGATATCTCCAACTTAATCTATTATCACAAGGATCATCTTTGCTTCCTTCCCTTTTAACCTCTCATTGCATCAACAAGAAACCTGGATCACATCATCTTCCATTCATTTGCTTAATTATTCAGTTTCAGTATACATGTATACTGGTTTGAGAATTGTTATCCTCTAACTCTGTAGGGGGAAAATGGTTATCAACTAGCATACTGTCCTTATGTATAGTTAATTTTACCCTTAGTTTTACAGACTCTACTCATTTCCAAAGTTACTTAGATCAGCATTCTAAGTAACCTCCTTAAATGAAGTGGCTACCTACACTTAAATAGAGTTAGATTGTTTTGTTATACTCTATATTCCATCCTGGGATCCTCTGACATTCTAAAGTTTTTAAAAACTTGTATACATAAAGGTTTACTTTTTGTGTTATAAATTTCTATGAGTTTTGATAAATGCTCATGCTCGCCTTGGCAGCACACATACTAAAATTGGAATGATAAATGCTTTATAACCTTCATTCACAATTACAGTATCATATAGAATAGTTTTGCCTTCCCAAAAATTTACCTATACTTTACCTGTTCGAACCTCCCGGCCCTACTCACCCACCCTCTGCTGAACACCTGGAAACCACTGACCTTTTACCATTGCTATGGCTTTTTCCTTTTCCATAATGTCATAAAATTGAAATAATATACAGCCTTTTCAGACTGGCTTTTTTCACTTAGCAATATTCATCAAAGAATTATCTATGTTTTTGCATAGCTTGCTAGCTTGTTCCTTTTTATCACTAAATGATATTCCATTGAATAGATGTACCACAGTTTGTTCATTTGCCTACTGAAAGACATCATTATTGCTTCCAGTTTGGGGGGAATTATAAGTAAAACTGGTATAAACATTCTCATGAAGGTTTTTGTATGGACATACATTTTCAAATCATTGAGTAAATACCGAATAGCGTGGTTACTGGATCATATGGTAGGACAATTTTTAGTTTGTAGGCAACAGCCAACCTGCCTTCTAAGGTTGCTGTATCAATTTGCATTCCAACCAGCAATGAGTGAGAGCTACTGTTACTCTGTTAGTAGTTTTTGTTTTGTTTTGTTTTAGCTATTCTGATTGGTATGCAGTGACTTCTCATTGTTGTTTAATTTGAAATTCCTTAGTAACAAATAATGTAGAGCATCTTTATATATACATATTTGCCACCTACATATCTTCTCTGGTGAGGTGTCTGATGAGGCCTTTTGTCTATTTTTAAATTGGATTGTTATTTTCTTATTATGTATTTTGGACGCAGATCTTTTATCTGATATGTGCTTTGCATATCGGATGAGTCTGAGACTTGTCTAATTTTCTTAATGGGTATTTTGCAGAGCAGAAATTTTTGTTTTTAAGAAAGTTCATCTTTTTTTTTTTTTGCATTACTATTGGTGTTGTATCTAAAAATTCACCACCAAACCCAAGGCTGTATAAATTGTCTCCTATTTTTTTCAAGGAGTTTTATACCTATGCATTTTGCATTTATGTTTATGATGAATTTTGAGTTGATGTTTGTGAAAAGTGTAAGGTGTGTGTTTGAGTTCCTTGCTTGCATATGGACACTCAATTGTTCCAGCACCATTTGTTGGAAAGACTATTCTTTTTCCATTGTATTGCCTTTGCTTCTTTGTCAAAAATCAGTTGACTATATTTGTGTGGGTCTATTTCTGGGCCCTGTAGTCTGTTTGACTGATCCTTGGGTCTATTCTTTTGCTAATACCATGCCAAAAAAGCAAAATAACTGTAACAAAATATGTCCACAACCTTTATGTTTTGTGTTGTAAAGTTCTATGAGTTTTGACAATTTGTATTCGCTATTGCAATATCATACAGAATAATTTTGCCACCCTAATAAAGTACTTGTACTTTGCTTACTTAAACCTCAACACCCCCCACCCTACACCTACCTGAATATTCTGGATAAGACCTAAATCAGTAGAGACATATAACATGTTCATGGATTAGATAACACAATTATTGTTATTATGTCAAATTTTTCTAAATTGATGTAAAGATTCAGTGCATACCTAATCAAAATACCAGTGTACTTTTGTGTTGAAAGTGATCACCTTAGTCTAAAATTTATATGGAATAAATAAATAAATAAATAAATAAATAAATAAATAAAAATAAAATTTATATGGAAATGTCAAGAACCTAAGATATCCAAAACAATCTTGAAAAAGAAGAACAAAGTTGAAGTATTCACACTTCATCATTGTAAAACTTAGTACAAAGGTACAGTAATCAAGACAGTGTTGGAATAAGGATGAAATTGAGAGTTCAGAAATAATCTTTGCATTTATGATCAATTGATTTTAAATAAGGATGCCAAGACCATTCAATAAAAAAAACTAGTCTTTTCAGTAAATGGTGCTGGGAAAACTGGATATCTACACACAAAACAGTAAAGTCAGACCCCTACCTCACAACATATACAAAATAACTCAAAATGGATAATAGACATAAATGTAACCACTAAAACAATAAAAGCCTTAGAGGAAAATGTAGAAGTAAATTTATATTTTCTGATCTTAGGTTAGGCAATGGTTTGTTAAATACGAGACCAAAAGCACAAGTAACAGCAAAATAGATAAACTGTACTTCGTCAAAATTAAAAATGTTTGTGTTTCAATGGACGACGTCAAGAAAGTGAAAAATCAATTCAGGCAAAAACCCCAAACAGGGACAACATTAAATGTTGGCAAGGATGTGAAGCAACAGGAATTCTCATTCATTGCTTATTGGAATGCAAAATAGTACAGTCAGTTTGAAGGACAGTTTTCTAGTTTTTTACATAATGAGACATACTTTTACCAGCAGTTGTGCTCTTGGTGTTTATCCAAAAGGGTTTGTATTGGTCCATTCTCATGCTGCTAAGAAGAAATACCCAAGACTGAGTATTTTATAAAGGAAAGAGGTTTAATTGACTTATAGTTCAGCATGGCTGGGAAGGCCTCAAGAAACTTACAATCATGGCTGAAGGGGAAGCAAACATGTCCTTCTTTGCATGATGGCAGGAAGAAGTGCTGAGCAAAATAGGGGAAAGCCCTTTATAAAACCATCATATCTCATGAGAACTCACTCACTATCACGAGAACAGTGTGAGGGTAACCCCCACCATGATTAAATTACCTCCCCCTGGGTCCCTCCCTCAACACGTGGGGATTAGGGGAACTACAATTCAAGATGAGATTTGGGTGGGGACACAGCCAAACCATATTAGGGTTGAAAACTTACGTCCATGCACACACAAAAAAAGACAAGCCCACGTGGATGTTTATAGCAGCTTTATTCATAATCGTCAAAATTTGGAAGAAACCAAGATGATTTTCAGTATGTAAATGGACAAATAAACTGTGATGCAGACAATGAAATATTATGAGTGCTAAAAAGAAATGAGCTATTAGCCATTAAAAGACGTAGGGGAAACTTAAATGTATGTCATTAGGCAAAAGAAACAAAGCTTAAAAGGCTACAGACTGTATGATTCCAGCTGTATTACATTCTGAAAAAGGAAAACTATGATGGCAGTAAAAAAAAAATCAGTGGTTGCTGGGGGTTGAGAGGGAGAAGGGTTGAATAAGTGAAGCACAGAGGATTTTCAAGTCAGTGAAAATATTCTATGTTGGTGGATACATGTCATTATACATTTGTCCAAACCCATAGAATGCACAACACCAAGAGTGAACCCTAATGTAAACTACAGACTTTGGGTGTTAATGATGTGTCTATGTAGATTTATAAATTGTAACAAATGTACCACTTGGTATGGGATGTTGATAGTAAGAAAAGCTGTGGATTTGTGGGCCCAGGGGTTATATGGGACATCTCTAATTTCTGCACAATTTTCCTCTGAACCTAAAAAAGCGATAAGCAATAGTCTATTTTTTAATGAAGATCAACCCAAGAATGGGAGGAAATATTTGAAAATCATATATCTGATAAGAAACTTATTTCTAAAATATATAAAGAACTCTTACAACTCAATAATGGAGACAAATGGCCTATTTAAAAGTAGACAAGTAATTTGAATAGACATCTTTCCAAAGAAGACCCACAAGTGGCCACTATGTATATGCAAAGATGCTTATCATCATTAGTCATTAGGTAAATACAAATCTAAATAAGACACCACTTCACATCCACTAGGATGGCTACACTAAAAAGGACAGACAATAACAAGTGTTGGTGAGAATGTGGAAAAATTGAAACCCTCATACCTTGCTGTAAAATGGTACAGCAGTTTTGGACAATAGTTTGGCAATTCCTCAAATGTTAAACAGAAAATTATCATACGACCTAGAAATTCCACACCTGGGTATATACCCAATATAATTAAAAATAGGTGTTCAAACAAAAAAGTATGCACTAATGATCACAGAAACACTATTCCCAACAGCAAAAGGTAAAAACAAACCAAGTGTCCATCAACTGATGAATGTAAAAACAAAACATTGTATTTTCATACAATAAAACATTATTCAGCAATAAAAAGAGACAAAATACTGACACATGCTACAATATGGATAAACCTTGAAAACATTATGCTGATTGAAAGATGTCAGACACAAAGGCCACGTATTGTTTAATTCCATTGATATGAAATGTCCAGAATAGGAAAATCCAAAGAAACAGAAAACACATTAGTGGATGTGAGGAGTTAGATGGAGGGGAGAATAGGGAATGACAGCTAATGCGCAGTTTCTTTGAAGGGAGATCAAAGTGTTCTAAAATTAGGTAATGTTGAAGGTTGCACAACTCTGTACATATACAACTCTGTATGTATATGTAAAAACCTCTGACTTTTACATCATAAAAGGGTGAATCTTGTGATATATGAATTTTGTGTCAATAAGGTCATTATAAAAATTATATCTTTGGGCTCACAAAAATTCAATAGCTAGAGTGTGATGATAGCTTAGTAAACTATTCCAGGGGTTCCACAGGATTATAAGCCCACTTTCCATTTCTAGGAATATGTATATTGATAAGTAAATCAGATAAATGCTTGATTTGTGTTTTAAGGCAAACAAATTGAGAGTCAACAGCCCTGTTCCCCAACAACTTCACAAAGATTAGTGGGTCTGTTGTTTGGCAAAACTTACATACATTTTCCTTATAGAAGAGGTTCTTTAGACAGATACTCTAGAGCTAAATGTACAGAAGAATTAAATTCTGGTTTATTTCCTAAAATTCTATGGGAAATTTAAATGACCAGCTTGCAGAATAGCTAATTCAAAAACTTCTTAATCTGTACTGAGCATAAAGCCATAAAACACTGGCAAATTAGGTGAAAATCTCCTCTCCACTGTATCTTTTATTCAGGAACATAATTTGTTGCCTGATAAGCCATATGTATGATCTGATCACCTTATCAACTGCCTTTATTTTTATTTATTTTATTCAATAGGTTTTTGGATAACAGGTGGTGTTTGGTTACATAACTAAGTTCTTTAGTGGTGATTTCTGAGATTTTGGTGCACCCATTACCTGAGCAGTGTACACGGTACCCAATGTGTAGTCTTTTACTCATCAGCCCCTTCCTACCCTTTCCCCTGAGTCCCCAAAGTCCATTGTATCATTCCTATGCTTTTGCATCCTCACAACTTAGCTCCCACTTATGAATGAGAACATATGATGTTTAGTTTTCCATTCCTGAGTTACTTTACTTAGAATAAGGGTCTCCATTTCCATCAAGGTTGCTGCAAATGCCATTATTTCTTTCCTTTTTATGGCTGAGTAGTATTCCATGGTATACCGCAATTTCTTTATTCACTCGCTGATTGATGGGCATTGGACGGGTTCCACATTTTTGCAATTGTGAATTGTGCTGCTATAAACATGCGTATGGAAGTATGTTTTTTGTATAATGACTTCTTTTCCTCTGGGTAGATACCCAGTAGTGGGATTGCTGGATCAAATGGTGGTTCTACTTTTAGTTCTTTAAGGAATCTCCACATTGTTTTCCACAGTGGTTGTACTAGTTTACATTCCCACCAGCTTTTGATTATGGTCATTCTTTATCAACTGCCTTTAAAAACAATTTCAGATGGAATGTCTATCCACAGTTTGTATCTATTCACTCCACTCTCTCACTTCTTGTTGCTAGGATACCACTTACTGAAATATTAAAAATTTATTTTTAATCAAGTTTTTATTCTACATGGCCTTAGGAAAAGAAAAAAAGCAAGGTCCATGCACACATAAAACAGTTTCCAGAATGACTTTGAATCTTTGGTAGTAATTCTAAAGTCTTCTTTTTTTAGTTTAGGAATTGAAAAAGCTGACTTTATAATTAAAATTGCAAGTTTTCACTTTGTGTATTAATTTGTCTAAGTGAAAGGGGAGGTCATATCACAGAAACCTTTCCTTCCTTCTAAAATGGCTGATTCATTTTGTCTGTCAAAGACAAAGTCTCCAGGGTACAGAAAAGGTCTTCCTTCAGAGACGATTCATCTTCATAGCCCTTATTTCTTAGGGCTCTCAAGTTTAAAACTAGAAACTGGAACAGTCTACTTTCCTGACTTCTAAAAGTTACAGAGATTAGAGTGTAAAAAAAAGTTGTTATTATTCTACTTATTTTTATTCCAATTAATTTAATTCAGTAATGTGTATTAAACACCCTCTATGCACAATTCACTGTACTAATCAATGCTGAGAGTGTTAAGATGAATGTGTGACAGTCACTGTCTTCAAGATGGTCATAACCTAGTGAGGAAAATGGACAATACCCAGTACCAGTCTCCAAGGGAGCAGTTCTCCAAGGGAGCAGTTCTCCAAGGGAACTAAGTTACCCCAGGCCCAGGGGATAGAGTTCCAGCACTTACTCTGGGGTCTGCAGAAACACAGGTCTAGAGCCTGCATTGGTTGGGTGTGAACAATATGCAGCATCCAGTAGGGTACCAGATTAGCACCGGAAATGGTTACCACACGAAGGAAGACAATGTGTGAGAGAATTCATAGGTCGGGGCTCAGTTGGGCATTCCTAGGTGGTGCCTATGGTCTCTGCCCTGGACACTGAAGAGGGCTCATAAGGGTGGACATTAACCCAAACCTGACCTGAGGTAGGCTGATCAGTACCATGGGGCAGGTTTATTTTCTGGGGGAGAGGGTGGAGTTTGAAAATGCTTTGTAAGCAGTATGGCAGTTGAGCTGGGTTCTAAGGACTGGTGAGACTTCATTAATCTGAGGTTACTAGAGGTCACATACAAAGTACAAAGAAGAGGTAACAAAATATGAAGGTGGGAGGATGCTGCTGTATTAAAGAAATGCTGGTGCTGGTTGACGAGGAGTGTAAAAGGCACACGACTGTGGGGTGAGGAGACAGTGGAGAGGGAGCTAAAGCTGGCATCTTGGGCCAGATTAAGAAGGGCTTTGGAATGCCATGCAACATAATTTGGACTTTATTCTGTATGTGCAATGAGGGTCTATCCAGGGTTGTTGAATAATGCAATGTTATGAAATATTGCCTTTTATTAATAAGCTGACTTATCAACTTGGCTTAGCAATATTTTTAAGGGATTTGTTTCTAAACTTGTCCTAGTTATTCTCCATTTTCCCCCTCAGATCCATTCTTCACCTTCTGTCTCCTACTCTGTGCCATAGGAGGCTTACTTCACCCAGGATCCCTTGGCCTCTGCCTTCCAGTAGAGTGGCTATTGGGAGGCACCAGCAGGTTATTGGAGGTCCAGAAGAGACAGAGAGGGATGTGTTTGGTCAGTGGCTGTGTTTCTCCATAGAGCTTCAGTTCTTGTAAACTGTCCCCCACTTTCTGCAGCTCCAGCTCTCACAGAGGTCTAGTAACTGCTTCCTTCTCCTGCCCCTAACTGGCATTCCTCTCTTGCTAATCACTGGAGGCCTTACCATCCTTTATTATTTCCGTTAATCCTGCTGTTTACGGGGGTGGTGTCCCAAAGATCACCCCCAGCTTAGATGATTCACTAAGAGGACTCACATGACTTAACATATTGTTGTACTCATGGCTAAAATTGATTGCAGTGAAAAGATACACAGTAAATCAGCAAAGATAAAAGACACATCGGGTGATGTTGGGGGAAGCCAGGCACACGCTCCAAGAATCTTCTCCCAGTGGAATTGCACAGCACATGCTAAATTCTTCCAGCAATGAGTTGTGACAACATGCATAAAATGTTGTCTTCCAGAAAAGTTCATTGAGACTTAGCACGCAGGGTTTTCACATACCAAAATTCCAGACTCCCAGAAGGGAAGCAGATTTTCAGTGTAAACCACATTGTTTGCATAAATAGTTTAGGCACTGTGAGCTATTCCTATCAGGAAATACTGGGGAGGCCCAGCGTGGTGGCTCACACCTATAATCCCAGCACTTTGGGAGGTGGAGGTGGGTGGATCATGAGGTCAGGAGTTCAAGACCAGCCTGGCCAAGACAGTGAAACCTCGTCTCTACTAAAAATACAAAAATTTGCCGGGCGTGATGACAGGCGCCTGTTATCCCAGCTACTCGGGAGGCTGAGGTAATGAACTGCTTGAATCCGGGAGGTGGAAGTTGCAGTGAGCTGAGATCGCGCCACTGCACTCCATCCTGGGCGACAGAGCGAGACTCCGTCTCAAAAAAAAAAAAAAAAAAAGGTGGGACTGCTCACCCATCAGTTTGCTAGTCTGAGTGCAACTTAAAGAAAAAGGCAGATCACAAGACTCAGGGAAATAATCACTGCCCTCACTCTGTATGACCTATCTGTAGTTTAAATTCTGTTCCCTGAAGGACAACTGTTTTCTACATTATATGGACAAATGCCCTCACATTGATACTGAGGGACCTGTCATTTTTTGAAGGTTTGCAAGTTTTGCAGGGTCTTCTTGGGAGTCAGCTATGCCTCTGCCCTTTAAATCTCTGCCTCCCATCCCAATTTGCGAAAACTAAAGTCTTTTGTTCACAAACGAACTACATGTTCCTTATTTTTGATAAAACAGCTGCATGCCAAACATGATTCCTTTCATCTCCTATACATTACAGTAGAGATTTAAAGTCTACTCACTGATGTGTTTTAATGGTGCTAAGAAAAATTTCTCAGATGAATAACCCAAAGCTTGCTAACATTTCTGTTAGAGAATGGGAATGGGGAACAATTTTCTTCCTTCCTTTAAAATCTTGCCCAGTGACCAGAAAAGTCCATTTCAATTCAAATTCAATCTCAGATGACTTTTTTTCTTTACATTTAGCTAAAGCTAAATGTAAATTAGTTCAACCTTTGATCATCTTGAAGGTAGGTAAATAAATAAATAAATAAATAAATAAATAAATAAATCACATTTAAATTTTCCTTTTCTGCTTTAAAGGCTTAATGCACAGAATATTTTCCCTACTTCTTTTAAAAGTAACTAAAATGGCCTCTTTATCAAAAATCTAACTAGCTTCCCCAAAAGTCATCATCTTTTTCTTTCTACTTTGTTTTTTTTAACCACATGTTGTTATGACAATCACCCACTCTATTTTAAACAAGCTTTGCAGTGCAAATGTGATGATTTACTGAGGAACAAGAAAGCTGTTTGGTCCTTTGAGCTGAAAAGGGGTGCCATGTTTATGGTCTGTAGATCAAAGCCAGAGCACTAGATTAGGAGTCAGGAGACAGTTCAGACATCTATCAGCCATGTGACCCTCTGGGTTCCAGCCTCCTCCTCAGCATGAGAGGGAGCCAGGCTTGTCTAAGGTCACCTTCAGCCCAGAAGATCTATAATTCCATATGCTAAGCCCTTCATCCTGGAGGAAATCTACAGAAAGTTCCATGAAGGCTCAGTCTGCAGTGTTTCTATCATAGAAGCAGCAGTTTTCCTCCCTCTTGCTCTGCAAGCGAGAAGTAAAAGCAGAGTGAGATGCATGTAGAAGAAGATCATTTCACTACATGTAGGAGAATGAAACTGGATTATCGTCTCTCACCTTATGCAAAAATCAACTCAAGATGGATTAAGGACTTAAACCTAAGACCTGAAACTATTAAAAATTCTAGAAGATAACATTGGAAAAAACCCTTCTAGACATTGGCTTAGGCAAGGATTTCATGACCAAGAACCTAAAAGCAAATGCAATAAAAACAAAGGTAAATAGCTGGGACCTAATTAAACTGAAGAGCTTTTACACGGCAAAAGGAACAGTCAGCAGAGTAAACAGACAACCCACAGAGTAGGAGAAAATCTTTACAATCTATACATTTGACAGAGGACTAATATCCAGAATTTACAACAAATCAGTGAGAAACTCAAATAAATCAGTAAGGAAAAAAAATCTCATCAAAAAGTGGGCTGAGGACATGAATAGACAATTCTCAAAAGAAGATATACAAATGGCCAACAAACATATGAAAAAATGTTCAACATCACTAATGATCAGGGAAATGCAAATCAAAACCACAATGCGATACTACCTTACTCCTGCAAAAACGATCATAATCAAAAAATAAAAAAGCAGTAGATGTTGGCGTGGATGCAGTGAACAGGGAACACTTCTACACTGCTGGTGAGAATGTAAACTAGTAGAGCTGCTATGGAAAACAGTGTGGAGATTCCTTAAAGAACTAAAAGTAGAACTACCATTTGATCCAGCAATCCCACTATTGTGTATCTACCCAGAGGAACAGAAGT
The DNA here is from genome assembly GCF_000001405.40 of Homo sapiens. NCBI lineage: Eukaryota > Metazoa > Chordata > Mammalia > Primates > Hominidae > Homo > Homo sapiens. Next base: position 170,805,335 of record NC_000003.12, read on the forward strand.
CATTATTTGAAAAAGATACTTGCACATGCATGTTTATAGCAGCACAATTCACAATTGCAAAAATATGGAAGCAGCCCAAATGCCCATTAATCAACAAGTGGATAAAGAAACTGTAATATATATATATGATGGAATATTATGCAGCCATTAAAAAGGAATGAATTAACAGCATTTGCAGTAACCAGGATGAGATTGGAGACTATTATTTTAAGTGGAGTAACTTAGGAATGGAAAATCAAACATCGTAAGTTCTCACTGATATGTGGGAGCTAAGCTATGAGGATGTAAAAGCATAAGAATGATGCAATGAACTTTGGGGACTTAGGGGGAAGAGTGGGAGGGGGTGAGGGAAGGAAGACTACAAATATGGTGAAGTGTATACTGCTCAGGTGATGGGCCCACCAAAATCTCACAAATCACCGCTAAAGAACTTACTCATGTAACCAAATACCACCTCTACCCCAATAAGTTATAGAAAAACGAAATAAAAATAAAAAGAGTTTTGCAGTACTGTGAAATACTGGAGAAACATCAACAGTGTTTCCTACTATTACCTATGTAAATAATACCAGGGAAGTGTGCATTTCTGAAAGAGATAGCCCAATGACTTCAGAATAATGAATGGTAAAATGATGAGATTTATTGCCAAGTATTTCTTTTTAATTTTCTTTCTTTTTTTCTTTCTTTTTTTTTTTTTTTTTTTTTTTTTGAGACAGAGTCTTGCTCTGTCATCCAGGCTGGAGTACAGTGGTGTGATCTCAGCTCAGCCTCCACCTCCCGGGTTCAAGCAATTCTCCTGCCTCAGCCTCCCGAGTAGCTGGGGTTACAGGCACATGCCGCCATGCCCACTGCTTTTTGTATTTTTAGTAGAGACAAGGTTTCACCATGTTGGCCAGGATGGTCTTGATCTCTTCACCTTGTGATCCACCCACCTGGGACTCCCAGAGTGCTGGGATTACAGGCGTGAGCCACCGCGCCTGGCCTATTGCCAAGTATTTCAAAGTACCCTGAATAAGTCAAGATATCTTATATAAGGTGAAGGTCAAGTGATGTCTCCTAGCTGAGTCAACTGCCCCTAGAACTGAAGAGTTTTCCCTCAAGCATTTAGATGAGAGTAAATCAACAGAAAACTTGAAATCTCTCTCTCCCAAGCAAAGGCTTAGGGTATTGATAAGACACTGGGGAAGGCAAGGACAGACCTCAAATGGCACTTATTCCCAATTATAGTCCTTTCTGGCACTGCAGGTGTTCCTGTGATTAATATGTATTTTTTACCAACGTCCTTCAAGGAACAACTCTGGGAGAGGCTCTGTGGAGGAAGCACATAGCATGAGCCTTCAGTCAAAATAGGTGCAACGTAAACAGTTCAATGCTGGAGAAAAACTTTGTTGACTTGCCAAGTATCACTGAGCTGAGGACAGTGTGCTCCACATGGTGACATATAAGTAATAAACTCCCACAGCTGAGAGATTAGTCTTTGCTTCTTTCTTCCCTGATGAACAAAGATAGATTGTTATTTAAATTCCTGAGGAATGAAAACCTTTGGCTATTCTGTGAGTTCCTCCTCTGGAGAAACTGAAGCCAATGGCCAGTGGCAAATTTGGCTCTGAGCCTGAATTTGGAACACCTCTGAGATGCACAAATACTGAACAAAATATGCAGAAACCATATTCCATGCTTACCTTGGCCCCAGACAGACATCACATAAACACCTGAGTCTTCGCTGAAACTCAGGGAAGAAGATAGAATAGAGAGGAGAGGAAACTCCACCAGAATGAAGAGCTATTTTCCTGGTAACATCAGGCTGTGGTGAGCTGCAGACCAGTAGCTTAATCATTTCAAACCTCATTTACTCCATTTCAAAAATGGAGACACTAATTTGTGATACCAGTCTAACTCCACAGAGAAATTCTCCAAAGAATATTAAATAAGAGACATCTATAAAGTAGACCAATTATCCTATAGTCAAGATAAAAAAAACTTTAGAAGTACAGTCAGTGTCCTCCAGTTAGCCATGAAAAATTCACTGGGGCTCCTGCAGTGTGACCTTGGACTCCAGCTGTATTCTTTCAAGAGGGTACCTTTGACTCCACAGTTGACTTTCCTGCCGTTCAGTGTCTTCTTCACTGTTTCTCATCTCTGTGCCCTGTTGCAAATAACTCATTCAAGCCATGGATCTCTTTTCTTGTATCCTTATAACTTCCCCTGGCAGATACCCTGCAACGTGTTGCCAAAGGCGTCTGCCTTTTTTTCATCAAGGTGTTTCTCCATTTTTCAGCGACTATTTCCTTGGCAATCACATGCACACACACATACACACAAACTCACACAAAAAATAACTGTCTCCAACCTCTACTATAGGTTTAAAAAAACCTTTTGGCCAGGTGCGGTGGCTCACGCCTGTAATCCCAGCACTTTGGGAGGCTGAGGCGGGTGGATCACGAGGTCAGGAGATCGAGACCATCCTGGCTAACATGGTGAAACCCCATCTCTGCTAAAAATACAAAAAAATTAGCCAAGCGTGGTGGCGGGTGCCTGTAGTCCCAGCTACTCGGGAGGCTGAGGCAGGAGAATTGCGTGAACCCTGAAGGCGGAGCTTGCAGTGAGCCGAGATCGTGCCACTGCACTCCAGCCTAGGTGACAGAGCGAGACACTGTTTCAAAAAAAAAAAAAAAAAAAAAAAGACTTTTAAAATAAATGTTAGTGGGGAGACAAATTATCTTAGTGAGGTGGTGGTGGGATTTGTTATTGTGATGACATTCCCAAACTATAGATCCTAGGAAGAGAACAAAATTAAATCAGAGTGTCTGATATGGTTTGGCTATGGCCCCACCCAGTTCTCATCTTGAGTTGTAATTCCCATAATCCCCACATGTTGTGGGAGCGACCCGGTGGGAGGCAATTGAATCACGGGGGTGATTTCCTCCATGCTGTTCTCATGATAGTGAGGGAGTTCTCATGAGATCTGATGGTTTTACAAATGTCTGGTATTTCCCCTGCTGGCACTCATTCTCTCTCTTGCTGCCCTGTGAAGAGGTGCCTTCCACCATGATTATAAGTTTCCCGAGGGCTCCCCAGCCATGCGGAACTGTGAATCAATTAAACCTCATGTCTTTATAAATTACCCAGTCTTGGGTATTTCTTCATAGCAGTGTGAGAACGAACTAATACAGTGTCTCTGTAGCAAATTAACAAATTGAAAAAGTAAACAAAAACAAAAAAACCTATATTTAATCTAGTGGAGAAGAAAAGAAGCCATGTGCATAAATCACTAGCCCTTTTTCAAGTGCAGTGTCTTGGAGGATCCTAGAGACAGACTTCCTGGGTTCAAACCCTGGTTCTGCTGTGTATCAGTCTTGTGGCCTTGGGCAAGTTATTTAACCTCTCTAGGCCTCAATTTCCATCTACAGATAATGTAAAGTACTAGTATTAATCCATAGGCTTATTTTAAGGGTTAAATAGAATAACATATTCAGGACACACATATATGCCTGGCACATAATAAACATTTGTACATATTAGTTATTATTAAGGTGAATTGGGTTTGAGAGATTGGTTTGTTTAAACAAAGATAATTAAAAGCTACTTGAAGGTAGAATAAAAGAGCTGTATGTTTGTGAGGTATTATGGGCTTAACAAAGTGCCTGGCACCACGTAAAAAGAACAAAGATATTATAACTACCAAGACATAGCCAAAAACTCAGTTGGCTGGAAGAGAGTGCTAAAAAGCTCTGTCCCTTATGAGCACAGCTGCGGGACTGCAAGGGCGTACGGTTGAGAGTGCGCGATAGGTGAGCGAATTATGTCAACCATATAAAACCTACCTGCGCTAATGGTAGGACAACAATATTGTTCTAGTTTGCAAAGATCAGCATATTCTCCAGACAGAGAACACTGCTAAAAAGACAGTAGCATAATGCATCTCTCTGGAATACACACATACAACCCTCTCCTCCACGTCCCAACCAAGGTAATCAAGTTCTTTCATTGTAAAGAGTGCAATGAAAATGCCAGAGGCATCATCAAATTGTGAATCATATAATGCCAAAAGGTACCCAGGGATGACCTCACCTAGCCCCATTTGTGGGAGGAGGAAATGGGGGTGGGTGGAGGTTGCTGACAGAACAGTTGTCCCGAGGCCACACAGCCAGTGATCGGCAGAGCTGGACTAAGAAGGCTTACTGATTCTAACTCTTCGCTGTGCTACACTGTCTCCCATTCCCACACCCATCTCCACCCACCTCAAAATCTTAAACCAGATGGCAAATCCAGCTTCTCCTGGACCCCTAGAAGATACTCCTTCTCTGAGCTGTCACATCCTCGGGGCCTTCTAACGCCTTGTTCACTGCTGCCACCTAGGGAATTTCAGTGAGTTTTCCTCCTTAGGCTGTTGCCTTAGGTGCTCAACAATGGCCATGCACCTCCGTCCTATTCAAGGCCTATCTCCTTAATTAATCATCCAAGTCACTTCATGCTCAGCTCACCAATTAGCAGAGCTATTCACAGTGCAGGCATTCAGATGATACACATCTGACCTTGCTGATGAACACATCTTTTTGTTTGTTCTTTGAAATATTGTTAGGGAACTACTCAAATGCTTTGGGTTTAAAAATATTACTCCAATAATACTGAGTAGTTGCTGAGTTCTAGTTTAATATCTGATTCTTTTCAAGGTGCTGGTGAGAAGGAGCTCATCTACTTCATCCCCAGCATTGCAAGCAGGAGAATATCAGACCTATTTACTCAGGTTCAATGTGTCCAGATCTATTAACTGAAGTTCAGTGTTAGTCATACTTCCACTTTCCCCTGACCACTCCCTCTTTCCTCATTTTATAGCCAGATGCTAGCGTTTAGCAATAAAGTAGCCATTCATTCCCTCAACCTTAATTACTTGATAGTATCCATTGAAACAGAAACACACATGAACTAAATCCCTAGTGATGAAGTCCATTGCTTGACCATAAAAATGATAAAACAGACTCCTGACAAACAATAACAGTCCAGGTTGACTTCCTATGCAATTAAAACCAGACTCCTGGAATTTCCAATTCAAGAACAGAATACATGGAAATAATCAGAGTTGATTATTTTTCTAAGCAGGGAAGGTTAGAAAGCTTCCTGTTTTAGAATGTAAGCACTCTTTTCCAGCTTCATCATTATACCATGCCACATAAAGATATGACTATACCCCTTTTCACTATTCTTTCAGTTTTTAAAGGTCTGATTAGTAGTACTATAGCCCTGAGTATTTCTCCATAGATTCAATTATCTCCCTATGCACAGTATAGCATAGTGGTTTAAATACTCGGGCTTAGGGGCAATTAGACCTAGGTTCCAAACCAGGCTCTACTTGGGTGTGTAATCTTGCAAAAATTTCTTAACATTCCTAAGCTTCAGGTGCCTCATCTATGAAATGGCAGTAAAAATACTAACTTCACGGTAAATTTTCTGTGAGAATTGAAGATATAAAAGTTTGGTGTTGAGCACATTGCTTGGCCTATAGTAAGTAATCAGTAAAAGTTAGCTGGTATTGTAATTATCATCGTCATCATTCATATAACCATTGCCAATGTAAGATCCTCAATTACAAGGAGAAGCCAGAGAAAAGGGAAGGAGATTTCAAGTAGTTCTGGTAGACAGTGGCTTTGTAGCTAGGACTAAAAAATACATTCAATTTTAAGTCAGAATGCCTGAATTTAAATCCCAGATCTATATGAAGGTACTTAGCTTCTCTGGTCCTCGGTTTCCTTATCTGTAAAATGGAGGTGGTAATAGCAACTGGCAGATTGTTGTAAAAATTAAATGAGATAATGACACTGAACGTTTCAAGCCCAACACCTGCCCCAATGGCAGGCAAGCTTTCTTGCTTTTGCCTAATGAATATTTTAGGGCCCTTGCCCATGGTCTAACTTCTGCTTCTGACTGTCACCTCCTGCAGATGAGATGAGGGTGGCAAATCTGGATGCAGGACGCTCTGGGAGAACCTGGCAATCACACTTTCAATCTTTTGATCCGATAATCCCAAATACAAAGAAGAAGGCCCTCAGCAGTTCTCTATTAGGTATAAAAGGGAAGAAAGCCAGTTACAATGGCTGGAAGACCTTAGAGGAAAGGAGGCCCCGGGAACATGGGGACTAACAGCAAATCCTGGTACTGGCCACAAGCCACAAATTTGTGTAGGGGTAGGGAAGAGGATAGGGGATGGCTGGAGCCTGAGACCTGGTGTTTCCTATGATCAGTGCACCTAGCTTGATGACTCATGTTCTTCTAGCTTTTGGCAGCCTAGACTGGTATGTCACTGAAATTTAAAAGCTCCCTGAAATATAGGCAGCATTTTCTCTCCAGCTGTATTTTGAAAAGATGACACAATTTGGATGCAACCTTGTTTTCCAACCTGAAGCAATATTCAGACAGTGTGTTGATGTTTTTAAGTCAGTAGGTGTGTCTGTTTAGTATGTGTGTGCATGCGCGTAAAACGCTCTCCCTCGTGATGCAAAACATGCCCTTTTTCTAATGCCCACGAAAGAAAGTTATCTTAAAGTGAACAATTATTTGTTTGGGATGTCACACTCCAGAACTCTCCACCAGCTAGTCTATTGGGCCCGCTAGCTTCACAGAAGTCAAGGCCAGGTTAATGCATACTATATTATTAGCGAAATAACTAGGTCTTTAACACCTCTCCCTCCAAAAAACAAACACACAAAACAGCTTTAACTTTCATCCCTCTCCAATACCACACTGAATGCCCCACCCTAAGCCATAGCCCTATAACCTCCTCCTCCCCTCTCCTCTTCTGAATGAGAAACCATGAGTGCCCCCTAGTGGTTCAATGGCCGTAATTGCACTCCCCAGCTTTTTGTTTGCCTAATTACTAAGTTTTACCAGCAGGGTTGCAGCCAAGTTCAAGTGTCAAGTTCAAGAACATTTTTGTACTGCCATGTGGTGATTCTGTTGCAGCTAATAAAGAGCTTAAAAGTCTTTGGGTCTGTGAAGCATAATCTCAGCTTTTTCTGTTTGGCGGATCTTCTTAGGTTCTCCTTGGTTCTGCACAGCTGATAATGTGAGAGGGGTTGCTGCTCTCCTCTTGCCGCAACCCCCACCCCAGGCCTTCTCACTCCCAAAACCTACCAAAACGTACCAAGCTGCCTCTTTGAATCTGCTGGCGTGGTAAGGGGAATGGTGTGGCGCATGTGAAAGAGATTGTCCCAAATGGGCAGAACCTTGGGACCCCAGCAAAATCCTGTGTTTAAGTTCTGGCCCAATTGCCAAAGTTCATCCCCAGTTCTTGTTTCAGACTAGCTCAGAAATTCGTCTCATTGATCCCTTTAAGGGCTTTTGTATGCGACTCTGCCACATCAAGAAAATAGCTCTACTACCACCCACTCAGAATATTTGCAGAATTTGCTTTCTTGAGATACGATCATAGCAAAAGCCATGCAGGAATCCCCACTTACCACAGAGGTCCATTTCCAGACATCTCATTGTGACCCCACTCCTCTGATGGCTGCAGACTCAGTCCCCAGAGGAGGAGCTCCTTGAGGCAGGGGTTGAAACATTTTTATAAATTATTATCCCCAGCATGTGGCACAGGGCCCAACATGTAGTAGGTGATCACAAAATTTTCTGTCAGGGAAAGCGTTAAAGTACTGAACTACTCTCCCAGTCCCCAAGCCCATTCTGATGTTAAACTCCTAATTCCCAATGTGACTGTTTTTGGAGTTCAAGCCTTTAGGGAGGTAATTAAGATTAAGTGAGGTCCTAAGGGTTGGTCTATAATCTGAAGGACTGGGGTTCTTATAGGAAGGAGAAGAGACACCAGAAATTTCTTTCCTTGCGTGCTCACAGAAAAAGGGTTATGTGAGGACACAGGAATAAAGTGGCTGTCTACAAAGAACAGGAAGAGAGGCCTTACCAGAAACCAACCTGATCACACCATGATCTTGGACTTCCAACCTCCAGAACTGTGAGAAAACACATTTCTGTTGTTTAAGCCATCCAGTCTCTGGTATTTTGTTAATGGCAGCCCTAGCAAACTAATACAGAAAGGGAAGCTCTTTAATGAGATTCCTGCAACCAGACCATGGCACAGTTCTAAATTCCAAAGAAGGAGGGAGGACAGACACTAACACGTGTTGAGAGCTGACGGATGTGGCAGCACTGAAGCAGCTGTTCCTGGAAATTCACCAGTTGTCTTCTGATCTAAAAACACTCCTGGGGAAGCTCGTGAATACCCACGGGTGAAGTGTTTTCCCCTGTACTATTCTCCCTACTAGCCATTCCCCAGTGCCTGGCTTTCAGTGATCTCTGGGTATGTGAACTCGAAACCAGCATTTCAGTAGGGAAGATGTAGTCAGGCAGAAGAACGTGCTCCTGTCTACCCAAGTGATGCTCCTAAGTGTCTCCATGAATGTCTATGAGTACCCAGGAATGAATGTTGTGTTTCTCATCCTGCATTGGATTTTACAGCCTTCATTAAATTTTGACCAACAAAATTGAGTGAGAAAAATCAGGCTTCCTGCAAGGAATGAGCTAAAACCAGTGTCGGGTTCTCACTGTGAACCTTGCATTTCCCTTTAATAACAGACATCAGACCACCTGCAAAAACATTACGTCTCACTAAGCCAGGTAAGAGTGAAACTAGAGAAAAGTAGAGGAAATGCCTTAAGTCAAAGTTTTGATTTGTAAATCTTAGAGGAGGACATGAAGCCCATGGATAAGCAATAGACTGGAAGAGTACAAAATGATACAAGAGGCAGTTTGCCTACCCCAGAGGAACAGATCCCCTGCGTAGAAAAGAATAGCACTGAGGAAGGGCTTTATGTCCTACCCATTCCTCCTCTAGCCCCCAGCCATTCTTAGAGAAGGGAGAGGTGGCAAAAAAAACTCATAAGAAAGTTTGAGATATCTAAGAATAGAAGCTTTGGGGCATGTGACTGAAGTTCAGGAGGGCAGCAGCCATTATGCAGCTTCCCCAAATGTAACTTAAAGAATGGCTGCAAAGACTATCCAGGCAGACAAGGCTGAGGTGATCTCATGGAGTTCCCTCGGAGGCTCATGGAGCAGCCAGTTATTTCCCAGAGGGGCTTAGAAGTCTAGAGAGAGAGCCGAGCCCAAAAAAGCTTAGTCTGTTCAGCCAATTCCCTTGGTGACCTAATGGGAATCAGAGCACACTAGCAAGGACAATGTCAGTGATGAAGGCTACAGGGACTTTATGCCCTCCGTGGCCTCTCTCTATTCAGTCCAGTGCCACCTGAAAGCTTCTTGGAATTTACCTGCAATGCTGGATAAAGAATTGGGGTCCTACATTAGCTGTCCCCAGAACCACCATACACAGAAATGCATACTATTCACTGCACAGGGACCCCTAGCTTAAGAAGCAGGTGTAGGCAGAAATCTAGTTTGTGTTGGCGCGGGGCTGCACCCTCCTGGAAGGGGATCTTTTTCTAATTTGCACAATGATGCCATAGGTTAGTGGCAGCTTGACTGAGCAAAACTTGATTTGACAGAGGTCCCTCTGAAGTGACTGAAAAGTTTTCACCACAAGCAGATTGAGGAACTAAGTAGAAATTAAGTTGGCGTATGAAAGAATAAAGTTAATGTCTCTTGCACATCTGAGTCTGTGGCCTGAGATTTATGACCACTATAAAGAAAAATATGAAGAAACCAACTCCTCCTCAAAAGAATGCATCTCTCTCTCTCTCTGTCTCTCTCTCTCTCTCTGCCTCTCTCTCTCTCTGGATGGCCTCACTCTCTTGCCCAGGCTGGAGTAAAGTGGCGTGATCACAGCTCACTGCAGCTTCAATCTCCTGGGTTCAAGCAATCCTCCCAACTCCCAGCTTCCCGAGTAGCTGGGACTACAGACACAGCACCACATCTGGCTAACTTTTTTTGTAGAGATGGGGTTTTGCCATGTTGCCCTGGTCTTGAATTCCTGGACTCAAGCCATCCACCTGCTTCGCCTTCCAAAGTGCTGGGATTATAGGCCTGAGCCATTGGACCCAGCTCAATTTTTATAATGATTAATATTTTGGTATATTTTCTTCCAGTCTTTTTCTGTATGCATTTTTCCATAGTTAATAACACATAGAACCTACAACTTGGTATCATGAATTTTCTGCTTAAAACTGTATCACAGGGGAAATCATGTAGACCAGGGGTCGCCAACCCCCGGGCCGAGGACTTTTACCAGTCTGTGGCCTGTTAGGAACCACACGGCACAGCAGGAGGTGAGCGGCAGGCAAGCTTCATCTGTGTTTACAGTCACTCCCGTGGCTCATATTACCACCTGAGCTCCGCCTCCTGTCAGATCAGCAGCGGCATTAGATTTTCATAGAGCAGGAGCTCTACTGTGAACTGTGCATGGGAGGGATCTAGGTTGTGTGCTCCTTATGAGACTCTAATGCCTCATGATCTGAGGTGGGACAGTTTCATCCTGAAACAATCCCCCATCTGCCTCTCCATCCATCGAAAAATTATCTTCCATGAAACCAGTCCCTGGTGCCAAAAAGTTTGGGCACCACTGACACAGATGGTAGATCTTGACCTCATCTGTATTTTTGAAACATCTGAGTTACTTACACAAGTGCTATGCCCCATGGCCACATCCCAGAGCAATAGAATGCCACCATTAACATGCCAAACTTAACCAAACTTAACATGCCACCAGAATCACTAACTTAAGGCACAGATGTATTCAGAGTTGAGAAGTTGCCTGAGGACTGAATCTTTGAGACTCCTTACTCAGATAGGTACAAATATTAATGTGATGTAAATCACGTGGGGATGGTGCTCAAATGCTGATGCTGATTCAGCAGCGCTAGGGCCTGAGATTCTACATTTCTCACATGCTCGAAGTTGATGTTGCTGGCCAGTGGGAGGACTGCATTTTGAGTACCATGGGCTCAGAGGTCCAGAAGATGAAAAAGCAGCAGAAAGATAATTTCTACTAAATTTCTACTAAAGCATTTTCCAAGTCATTACAAACTATTTTTTAACTATTGTTTTTAATATTTAGATATTTCATAGAATAAATAGACCACATTTTTTCTCTTAAACATTTCCTACTGTTGGCCATTTAAATTGTTTTCAATTTTGCTGTTGTAACTAAGGAAGGAGAAACCTCTTTGTGCATACTTCTTTGTCCTCAACTTTTAAATGAGAAACTAATAAAGGAAAATGATGAGTAGTGGAGCAGGCCCCAGAGTAACACACCCCTGAAGGCCTGACTTCCCTTCCAACATGTGCCAGTGTTACTGTGTCCTCAGGCAAGCTAAGCAATGTTTCTTCACCTCAGTTTTCTTTGCTACAAAATGGGCTTTTTCTTTTCTCATATCCTTGAAATAAAGGGCGTTCATAAAATTATCTGCAACTCAGAACTCCCTCTGTGGAGCTACCGTGTTATTTTTTTGTCACAGCTCAGGGACAATGACCAGGTATGCCAATGGTAATTGCTGGGGCCACCCTCCCCCAAAGCCAACCCAATACAGAACTGCTGATGCCACAGTCATAAACAAACCCTAGGATGTGGCCCACCCTTCAGTGTTTGGATTTCAGTGCCAGGGGTAAGAAATATGAAAGACATGGAAAGAAGCAGCTGCGTTCCAAGACACTCCTTCAGATAAAGTTTCCTTTAAAACATTTTTACCATTCTTCATCAATATTTATAAAGAGATGAATAGATACAGCCACATTCCTCCTGGGCTGTGTCTCAGACACACCTATAATATCTGATCAAAATACAACTATTGTTTGTTGGTTCGGGGAGCACTTTTATTGGCAAGCTTCTTTGAAAATGAGGAGCCAAGTCAGCCCCATGTAGCAAAAAAATAAAATCAAAATCAGTTACATGAGTACAAAAAGATGGATGTAATTTTTTAAGGGCAACATGATGTGGCAGAAAGAGCATGGAATTTAGATTCCTGGATGTGATTCTCAAATTGGTCTCTTGCTGCTAGAGACTCAGAGCAAGTTAATTCACCACTTTGAGCTTCAGTTTCTTCTTCGGGGGGGTATGATGAAAGTTATTATAAACACAGAGAGAATCAGCTTTTCTAGAAAGAGTTCATTGATGTATCTGGCCTCTCAAGCAGGCAGAATGTTAGTTAATACTTGCCAACCTGTTGAGGTATCATGGACCCTTAAGGTTTCATCCAGTATTCATGGTTTAATCTTTGGGAAACACCATGAAGGACACCTAGCTTCTAAATAAGTCTCCCACTAGGTCCCACATGGCAACTGGAATTCCCAAATGACTTCCCTTTTGGGTTAAGGGGGGTGGTTCTCAGTGTGAAGAGACCACCAAACAGGCTTTGTGTGAGCAACATGGCTGTTTATTTCACCTGGGTGCAGGCAGGCTGAGTTCGAAAAGAGAGTCAGAGAAAGGAGATAAGGGTATAGCCATTTTATAGGATTTGGGTAGATAAAGGAAAATTACAGTCAAAGGGGGGTTGTTCTCTGGCGGGCAAAGTGGGGGTCACAAGGTGCTCAGTAGGGGAGCTTTTGAGCCAGGATGAGCCAGGAGAAGGAATTTCACAAGACAATGTCATCAGTTAAGGCAGGAACAGGCCATTTTCACTTCTTTTGTGGTGGAATGTCATCAGTTAAGGCAGGAACCAGCCATCTGGGTGTGTACCTGCAGGTCACAGGGGATATGATGGCTTAGCTTGGGCTCAGAGGCCTGACATTCCTGTCTTCTTATGTTAATAAGAAAAATAAAATGAAATAGTGGTAAAGTGTTGGGATGGTGAAAATTTTTGGGGGTGGTGTGGAGAGATAATGGGCGATGTTTCTCAGGGCTGCTGCAAGCGGTATTAGAGGCAGCGTGGGAACCTAGAGTGGGAGAGATTAAGCTGAAGGAAGATTTTGTGGTAAGAGGTGATGTCGTGGGGTTGTTAGAAGAAACATTTGTCGTGTAGAATTATTGGAGATGGCCTGGATACAGTTTTGTATGAATTGAAAAACTAAATGGAATAAGAGAAGGAGAAAAACAGGTATAAAAGGTCTAAGAATTGGGAGGACCCAGGACATCTGATTAGAGAGTGCCTAAGGAGATTCAGCATAGTCCTGCCAGCAAAGATTATTTATTTACTTCAAGAGTTTACAGTGGCAGTTTGGGGACAGTACCAGGAGATATCAGCTGTGATGGCTTGGAGAAACAGTGTAAACCGGCAGTGTAAACAAGAGCAGGGCATGTATGAGTAGTTGAGAACAGTGAATAGGAGTATGACTAGACAGAAGATAGTAGGGATGACAAGTTTTTTTGGGGCACAGTCTAAGTTGGTCTGGTGTCTGGAATGAGACTGGGGCCTAATAAAAAGGAGTGTCCATACAGGAGCTCAAATGGACTGTACCTTGTGGCATTCTGAGGACAGGTCTGACTTCTGAGAAGGGAAAGTGGTAAAAGTATTGTCCAGTCCTTTTTAAGTTGGTGGCTGAGCTTGGTGAGGTGTGTTTTTAAAAGACCTTTAGTCCGTTCTACTTTTCTTGAAGACGGAGGACCGTAAGGGATATAAAGGTTTCACTGAATACTAAGAGCCTGAAAAACTGCTTGTCTGATTTGACTAATAAAGGCTGGTCCGTTGTCAGACTGTATAGAGGTGGGAAGGCTAAACTGAGGAATTATGTCTGACAGAAGGGAAGAAATGACTGCAGTGGCCTTCTCAGACCCTGTAGGAAAGGCCTGTACCTATCCAGTGAAAGTATCTACCTAGACTAAGAGGTATTTTAGTTATCTGACTCGGGGCATGTTGAGTAAAGCTAATTTGCCAGTCCTGGGTGGGGGCAAATCCTCGAGCTTGATGTGTAGGGAAGGGAGGGGGCCTGAATAATCCCTGAGGAGTAGTAGAATAGCAGATGGAACATTGAGAAGTTATTTCCTTGAGGATAGATTTCCACAATGGAAAGGAAATGAGAGGTTTTAAGAGGCAGGCTAGTGGCTTGTACTATAGCATAGCCTGCCTTTGCTGGTGAGTGGCGATTAGGCCTGGTGGAACTGCCATCAATAAACCAACTGTGATCAGGGTGAGAAACAGGGAAGAAGGAAATGTGGGGAAATGGGGTGAACGTCAGGTGGATCAGAGAGATGCAGTCATGAGGGTCAGGTGTGGTATCAGCAATACTGTGGGAGGCTGGATTGAAGTCCGGGCCAGGAACAATGGTAATTGTGGGAGACTCAACAAAGAGTGAGTACTGCTGAAGGAGCTGGGGAGCAGAAAGTGTATGTGTCAGGTGTGAGGAAGAAAATAGATTTTGGAAATTATGAGAGCTGTAGAGAGTGAGTTGAGCATAGTTTGTGATTTTAAGGGCCTCTAAAAGTATTAGGGCGGCAGCAGCCGCTGCACGGAGACATGATGGCCAGCCTAAAACAGTAAAGTCAAGTTGTTTGAGCAAAAAGGCTACAGGACGTGATCCCGGTCCTTGTGTAAGAATTCTGACTGCACGGCCCTTCACTTCGGCTGTGTGTAATGAAAAGGGTTGGGATGAGTCAGGGAGAGCTAGAGTGGGGGCAGTCTCTAAAGCTGTCTTCAAGGAACAGAAAGAGGAGTGGGGAAAGGATTTAGGATCTATGGGGTCAGCTAGGTTTCCTTTTGTGAGTTTATATAATGGTTTTGTTAGGATGGCAAAACCAGGTATCTAAAGGCGAAAATATCCAACCATGCCCAGGAAGGAAAGGAGTTGTTATTTTGTAGAAGGGGTTGGGGTTTGAGAGATTAGTCCAACACGATCAGCAGGGAGAGCACGTGTATTTTTATGAAGAATTATGCCAAGGTAGGTAACGGATGGAGAAGAAATTTGAGCTTTGGAGAGGGATACCCGATATCCTTTGGAGAATAAATGCTGAAGGAGCAGAAGTGTGTCTTGTTGAGAAGATTCAAAGGAGGGGCTACAAAGAAGAAGGTCATCAATATATTGAATAAGGTGAGAAGCGGAGGGGTAGAAAGAAAGTAAATCATGAGAAAGAGCTTGGCTGAAGTAATGAGGGCTGTCCCTGAAACCTTGCGGCAGCACAGCCCAGGTAAGCTGCTGGGACTGATGGGTGTCAGGGTCAGTCCAGGTGAAAGCAAAGAGAGGCTGGGACGAGGGGTGAAGGGGAATAGTGAAAAAAGCATCTTTAAGATCAAGAATGGAATAGTGAGTTGTGGAGGAAGGTATTGAGGACAAAAGAGTGTACGGGTTGGGCACCGCAGGGTGGATAGGCAAAACAATTTGGGTGATAAGGCGCAGATCCTGAACTAACCTGTAAGACTTGTGCGGTTTTAGGACAGGTAAAATGGGGGAATTGTAAGGAGAGTTTATAGGTTTTAGAAGCCCATGCTGTAGCAGGCGAGTGATAACAGGCTTTAATCCTTTTAAAGCGTGCTATGGGATGGGATATTGGTGTTGAGCGGGGTAAGGGTGATTAGGTTATAATGGGATGGTAATGGGCATGTGATCTGTTGCCAGGGAAGGAGTAGAGATGTCCCATACTTGTGGGTTAAGGTGGGGGGATATGAGAGGAAGACGCGAAGGAGGCTTTGGGTTGGGGAGAAGGGCAGCAGTGAGATGCGGCTGTAGTCCAGGAATAGTCAGGGAAGCAGATAATTTGGTTAAAATATCTCGGCCTAATAAGGGAACTGGGCAGGTGGGGATAACTGAAAAGGAGTGCTTAAAAGAATATTGTCTAAGTTGGCACCAGAGTTGGGGAGTTTTAACAGGTTTAAAAGCCTGGCCATCAATACCCACAACAGTTATGGAAGCAAGGGAAACAGGCCTTTGAAAATAAGGTAATGTGGGGTGGGTAGCCTCCGTATTGATTAAGAAGGGGACGGACTTACTTTCCACTGTGAGAGTTACCCAGAGTGTCTGTAATGGTCTTGTAGGCTTCGAGGCGATCTGGCAGTGGCAGTCTTCAGCTGCTAAGCCGAGATCTGGGAAGCAGTCAGTCAAAGAGCCTTGGGCCAGAGTTCCAGGGGCTCTGGGAGTGGCTGCCAGGTGAGTTGAACAGTCCAATTTCCAGTGGGGTCCCGCACAGATGGGACATGGCTTAGGAGGAATCCCGGGCTGTGGGCATTCCTTGGCCTGGTGTCCAGATTTCTGGCACTTATAGCAAGCTCCTGGGGAAGGCGGTTCTGGAGGAACACCTGGCCACTGCAGTTTAGGTGTTTGGAAGTTCTTGTGTGCTGGAGATGTGGCTGGGGTTTGTCTCACAGTGGAGGCAAGGAATTGCAACTCAGAAATATGTTGCTACTTGGCTGTCTCTATTATTGTACACCTTGAAGGTGAGGTTAATTAAGCCCTGTTGTGGGGTTTCAGGGCCGGAATTTAATTTTTGGAGTTTTATTTAATGTCAGGAGCAGATTGGGTAATAAAATGTATATTGAGAATAAGACGGCCTTTTGACCTTTCAGGGTCTAGGGCTGTAAAGCGTCTCAGGGTTGCTGCTGAACAAGCCATGAACTGGGCTGGGTTTTTCATATTTGATGAAAGAGCCTAAATGCTCAGGATTTGGGAGAGGTCTGATGAAGAAAAAGGAGCATTAACCTTGACTATGCCTTTAGCTTCAGCCACCTTTTTAAGAGGAAATTGCTGGGCAGGTGGGGGAGGGCTACTCACGGAATGAAACTGTAAACCGGACCGGGTATGAGGAGGGGAGGTGATAAAAAGATTATAGGGTGGAGGAGCGGAGGCTGAGGAAGAATTGGGACCTAGCTCGGCCTGGCGAGGAGCAGCCTGGGGAGGAGGGGAGAGGTCAGATGGGTCTGTAGAAAAGGAAGATTAGAAAGACTCAGCGACGCTTGGGGTTGGGACTGAGGGGACAGGCGAGAGGGAAAGAAGGAAGATTTGGGATGAGTTTCACTGGGCACAGAGACTAGGAAGGGACCGATGTGTAAAAGAATGCCTGGACATCAGGCACCTCAGACCGTTTGCCCATTTTAGGACAAGAATTATTTAGATCTTGCAGGATGGAAAAATTGAAAGTGCTGTTTTCTGGCTATTTGGAACTACTGTCGAGTTTGTATTGGGGTCAAGTGGCATTGCAGAAGAAAATAAGGCATTTAGGTTTTAGGTCAGGTGTGAGTTGAAGAGGTTTTAAGTTTTTGAGAACACAGGCTAAGGGAGAAGAAGGAGGAATGGAAGGTGGAAGGTTGCCCATAGTGAAGGAAGCAAGCCCAGAGAAAAGAGAGAGTGGAGACATGGAGGGAAGGGGTTCGGGGGTTCTTACCCTCCAGAAAAGCAGGAAAGGGGTCAGGGCGCAGAGATATGAGGTCGGAGCATGGAAATAAGGGATCAGGAGACAGAGATATAAGAGGGTGGGGAGCGGAAATAAGGGATCAGGGCACAGAGATATAAGAGGTCGGGCCGCAGAAATAAGGGATCAGGGCGCAGAGATATAAGAGGTCGGGGCACAGAAATAAGGGATCGGGGCACAGAGATATGAGGTTGGGGTACTTGCCTCTCCACCAGAAAAGCGGGACTTGCCACTAAGGGTGAAGGAGAAGGGATTGGGGGTTTCTTGCCCCCCAGAAAGGCAGAGAAGGGGTAGAGACATGGAGAGAAGGGGTTGGGGTACTTGCCCCTCCCCTAGAAAAGCGGGACTTGCCGCTAAGGGTGAAGGACCAAGGCAGGCATCCTTGCGTGGTCTGACACCTCTGAAACGTGGGTGAATAATCAGAGAGGTGTCCCTGCAATGATTAAACACCAAGGGAAGGCTGCCTTCCCAGTCCGTGACCGGCGCCGGAGTTTTGGGTCCACAGACAAAACGTGTCTCCTTTGTCTCTACCAGAAAATGAAAGGAATTGAAATTAAGAGAAGGGAGAGACTGAAGAGTGGAAAGGAGAAAGTGGTTGAGGGATAGTGAGAGAGGTTGGAGAAGAGAGTAAGAAGAGGCCACTTACCTGATTTAAAATTGGTGAGATGTTCCTTGGGCTGGTGGGTCTGAGGACCTGAGGTCGTAGGTGGATCTTTTTCACGGAGCAAAGAACAGGAGGACAGGGGATTGATCTCCCAAGGGAGGTCCCCCGATCCGAGTCATGGCACCAAATTTCATGTGAGTCTGTGTGAAGAAATCACCAAACAGGCTTTGTGTGAGCAATAAAGCTTTTAATCACCTGGGTGCAGGCTGGCTGAGTCTGAAAAGAGAGTCAGAGAAGGGAGATAGGGGTGGGGCCGTTTTATAGGATTTGGGTAGATAAAGGAAAATTACAGTCAAATGGGGGTTCTCTGGCAGGCAGAGTGGGGGTCACAAGGTGCTCAGTAGGGGAGCTTCTGAGCCAGGATGAGCCAGGAGAAGGAATTTCACAAGACAGTGTCATCAGTTAAGGCAGGAACAGGCCATTTTCACTTCTTCTGTGGTGGAATGTCATCAGTTAAGGCAGGAACTGGCCATCTGGGTGTGTACGTGCAGGTCACAGGGGATATGATGGCTTAGCTTGGGCTCAGAGGCCTGACAAATTCACCATTTTGAGCTTCAGTTTCTTCTTCGGGAGGGTATTATGAAAGTTATTATAAACACAGAGAGAATCAGAGCTTTTCTAGAAAGAGTTCATTGATTTATCTGGCAGAATGTTAGTTAATACTTGCCAACCTGTTGAGGTATCATGGACCCTTAAGGTTTCATCCAGTGTTCATGGTTTAATCTTTGGGAAAGATCATGAAGGACACCTAGCTTCTAAATAAGTCTCCCACTAGGTCCCACATGACAACTATAATTCCCAAATGACTTCCCTTTTGGGTTAAGGGGGTGGTTCTCATCCCTCACTTACATAAGAATTGCCTGGGCTACTCGAGAGGCTGAGGCAGGAGAATTGCTTGAACTTGGGAGGCAGAGGTTGCAGGTTGCAGTGAGCCGAGATTGCACCACTGCACTCCAGCCTGGGCGACAGAGCAAGACTCCATCTCAAAAAAAATGAATTGCCTGGGAAGAATTTTTTAAATGCCAATGCCCAGGCCTTCCCTTCAACAAAGGCCATGCTTTAGTATTGTGTACAAATCTCCCAGGTGACCCTATTATATGGCCTGAGCTCAGAACCACTGAGTTTGGTCTTAAGACACTAATTGAAAATCCACGGCTGGTAAACCTGTAAGCCGTTTTTCTTAAAATGACCCTTGTTTCAAGAAATGTATCAGTTTAGCCACTCAGTTCCTTGGGAGTGCACCACGGGGACATAAATGGGTGATTCTGGACATGCAGATGATGTACAACAGAGAAAACCCTAGAGCACTATAGAAGCACTGTGGCCCTACACCAAGTCTGAGAAAAGGAAGAGGTAACAGTGATAATAAACTCATTCATCAGCAACGTCACCATCAACTACCATTTACAGAGTCACTAGTAGTTGCCAAGTACTGTATACCAAGCATTTCACATTTTATTTTTATACTCATGTGGAGACTGGAGACAGGGTAGGGGTAGTAGGTGTGGAGTAGTGAGACGGTACAACTTTTCTGGAAAACAATTTGGCAAGATGGGTTAAGAGCCCACAAAATGTTCATATTCTTTGGCCAAGGAGTTGTCACTTCAAGTGACTGTCCCATGGAAAGGGCCACAAATGCAGGTGGTGGTTTTGTTCACAAAGATGGCCATCACAGCATGGATTATATTAGTAAGTACTGGGACTAACCTAAATATACAACAAATGAAGGGTGATTACATGCATATTACTACCTTACACACTGGAGTATAGAATGTGACCATGAAAGATGTTTTCCTCTATGAATAAATTTTATAACAAGGAAAATTTACACAACAAAATATTAAGTAAAATAAAGCAAGACATAAAGTAGTATCTACAGTGCAATTCAAAGTTCCAAGAATGGCATATATCTGTAAAACTTGTTACATTACAAAGTTGGTTGCAGCTGGCAAGACTCCATTTGTATCCATATGGTCTTCAGAAAACACCCTTCAAATGGTTAAAAAGTATATTGCTGGCCAGGCGTGGTGGCTCACGCCTGTAATCCCAGCACTCTGGGAGGCCGAGGCGGGTGGATCAAGAGGTCAGGAGATCGAGACCATCCTAGCTAACACGGTGAAACCCCGTCTCTACTAAAAATAGAAAAAATTAGCCGGGCATGGTGGCGGGCGCCTGTAGTCCCAGCTACTCGGGAGGCTGAGGCAGGAGAATGGCATGAACCCGGGAGGCGGAGCTTGCAGTCAGCCGAGATTGTGCCACTGCTCTCCAGCCTGGGCGACAGAGCGAGACTCCGTCTCAAAAAAAAAAAAAAGTATATTGCCAGCCAGGCACGGCGGCTCACGCCTGTAATCCCAGCACTGTGGGAGGCCAAGGTGGGTGGATGACCTGAGGTCAGGAGGTCGGGACCAGCCTGGCCAAATTGGCGAAACTCCATCTCTACTAAAAATACAAAAAAATCAGACGGGCGTGGTGATGGGTGCCTGTAGTCCCAGCTACTTGGGAGGTTGAGGTAGGAGAATTGCTTGAACCCAGGACGTGGAGGTTGCAGTGAGCTAAGATTGTGCCATAGTACTCCAGCCTTGGCAACAGAGCAAGACTCTGTTGTTTTTGTTTGTTTGTTTGTTTGTTTTAAAAAAAAGGTATATAGCCAAAGTTTTTTTAAGAGCAAGCATCTTAATTGATCATGTTGTACTGCTCTGGAGTCATCCCTGTTTTAGTTCGTGTACTAAGGCTTGACTACACATTCCCCCGCCTCCAAATAAAGCCAGGCAGGGAGGCAGATGTAAATAGTCAGCGGAAATGGGAAACAAATGACAACCGATTTGTAATACAACAAAAATATTTGTTTCACAAGTTTTTCTCACTACTGGAATCAGGTTTCTCCCTGGGTGTGAAAAGATGAAGAACTGAGAAAGAAGGAAAGATGAGCAGAGGGGAAACCAAAAGGAAGTGGAGAATGTGGGAGGGGGTAAAGCAAATAGAATTACAATTCCGCCTGTGGAAGGAATTCCAAATCTCCCAGTCTATGGCAGAATCTGGTTTTTCCTCACACAGCCAGCTTTGCTTTGAGGTTGTTGCTCATTTGCTGTCACTTTGCTTCACTGTCCTAGGGGGAGCCTAGCCCAAACTAACCCCACACATTTGTACTGGGGGCGGGGGGAGATGGGGGCACATTCTCCTGTTGTCACTTTCTTTTTCTCATCCCTAATCCCAAAGCCAAGGCTTACCCGGTCTTCTGGCCACCTAGATCCTTCCTGTCTCCTTAGCTTAGGACAAGGCTCCAGTTCCAGGTCAGACAGTCCAAGCCTATTCCAATCAGAGGTGGTTTTTTTGTTTAAAAAAAAAAGTTTAAAAAGAGGGGGGAGGTGGAGAGGGAGGATGCCATCTATTAGCATAGTGATACTTTTATCATCCAGTGATTGAGAACATATAGAATGACCAAAGCTACCATATATTCAAAATGGATATTTTTAAAATTACATTTTAGGAATCATAACAGCATCCACAGACTTTTGAAAAATGAAATAGGTGAGGCATTTTGTTCATGTAGCCTATAGACAA